>NC_000002.12:17358240-17509755 GCF_000001405.40 Homo sapiens
GTGCCCTATGCCAAATTGGCCACAAAAAGCTCCTGTCGAGGGAAAGGACACGGACCAACACTTCGTCATTAAAGACAAATTAGGTTGGCAGGCAAGAATTCTCTTGACTTTTGGCAAGCTCTAAGAAATATCAAAGATACCAAAGTCTAGCCTCCTGAGAGGTAGCAGCTAGGACCAGAGTGCAGAGTGGAGGACAGAGAAACTAAGGATTCTAGGCCTCCGCATTTCCTCTGGTGAGGCTGTGAGTAAGGGTGGCTGTCACTGTCAATCACACCTTACCAGACACACGACGTCAGAAACAAACTGAAAAATATAGAAGTCTTGGACCCCTTTCAAACCAATATTTCTTTCCTATGTGTTTAATATTTTTCTAGTGGGAACAAAGCAACAACGCATTTTGTACTACTAAGAACTATATGTAGAAACAGATTTAATTATTCATCCACTTCTAATGTCTGAAGAATATTTAATTTCTGAAAAATATTATCAAAACAGTACCTTCACTTTCTTGCAGTTCATGTCCTTGTAATTTTTTAAACCAGACACATCTTCAGAATCTTATTAAAGGTGTGGAATTTAGATAACACAGTAAGTCATTAATTCCCAATAAACAGAAGCATAGCCTGCATTATTGGCTTTCAAAACTCCAGCTGACTCGGAATGCCAAAGATGAATGCACGTGCATGTTGCACAACAATCAATGTGCTATTACCCCTTCTCCTACTTAAAGAGCGCAAGAAAATTTCCACTGGATAGCATTTTTAATGTAAATGGGAGTGAGAAGAATTTACATTCAGCCCTTTTATTCTAGTGATGTTGAGCATTCTGTGTCTTATACACTAGTGCTCCAGAAAACTGCCCAGCTGATCTTCCCCATTAATGGGAGCACCTAAGCAGATATGAGTTGCTCTGTGTGTAGGCATTGAAGCCTCTCTCCTCTCCTCAGCTCTTTTCTAATCTCTCTATAAAGTAAAAAATTTGTTCCTTGTTACAACAATTTCATTCACCAATAGACTGTTAGGTACTGGGGAGGCCCTACATAACCTGTGCTCATCACTGCACTAATGCACGAGGCCAAGATAAGCCTAATGTTATGGAAACTCCTTTTTTAATATTTCTACATCTGTTCACATATATACATCATTGATTTAAAAAACCACATATGTTGGAGAAAGGATAGAAATTATTTTGAAATGCCAGGACTTCCTGTCCAAGATATTAGATGTGCTATAAAGCCATCATTGTGTATTACAGAATGTCACAAAGTTATAATCCCAATCTAGTAAAGCTTTCTCATTTTATAGATTTAAAAAATCAAGTTTCATCTCTTACTTCCTTGAGCAGTGGTTTGTAGTTCTTCTTGAAGAGGTCCTTCACATCCCTTGTAAGTTGTATTCCTAGGTATTTTATTCTCTTTGTAGCAAATGTGAATGGGAGTTCACTCAAGATTTGGCTCTCTGTTTGTCTGTTATTGGTGTATAGGAATGCTTGTGATTTTTGTACATTGATTTTGTATCCTGAGACTTTGCTTAAATTGCCTATCAGCTTAAGAAGATTTTGGGCTGAGAAAATGGGGTTTTCTAAATATACAATCATGTAATCTGAAAACAGAGACGATTTGACTTCCTTTCTTCCTATTTGAATACCCTTTATTTCTTTCTCTTGCCTGATTGCCCTGGCCAGAACTTCCAATACTATGTTGAATAGGAGTGGTGAGAGAGAGCATCCTTGTCTTGTGCCAGTTTTCAGAGGGAATGCTTCCAGCTTTTGCCCATTCAGTATGATATTGGCTGTGGGTTTGTCATAAATAGCTCTTAGTATTTTGAGATAAACTCCATCAATACCTAGTTTATTGAGAGTTTTTAGCATGAAGGGGTGTTGAATTTTATCAAAGGCCTTTTCTGCATCTATTGAGATGATCATGTGGTTTTTGTCATTGGTTCTGTTTATGTGATGGGTTATGTTTATTGATTTGTGTATGTTGAACCAGCCTTGCATCCCAGGGATGAAGCCAGCTTGATCGTGGTGGATAAGCTCTTCGAAGTGCTGCTGGATTCGGTTTGCCAGTATTTTATTGAGGATTTTTGCATCAATATTCATCAGGGATATTGGCCTGAAATTTTCGTTTTTTGTTGTGTCTCTGCCAGGTTTTGGTATCAGGATGATGCTGGCCTCATAAAATGAGTTAAGGAGGAGTCCCTCTTTTTCTATTGTTTGGAATGGTTTCAGGAGGAATGGTACCAGCTCTTCTCAGTACCTCTGGTAGAATTCGGCTGTGAATCTGGTCCTTGGCTTTTTTTGGTTAGTAGGCTATTAATTATTGCCTCAATTTCAGAACTTGTTATTGGTCTATTCAGGGATTTGACTTCTTCCTGGTTTAGTCATGGGAGGGTGTATGTGTTCAGGAATTTATCCATATCTTCTAGATTTTCTAGTTTGTTTGCGTAGAGGTGTTTATAGTATTCTCTGATGGTAGTTTGTATTTCTGTGGGATCAGTGGTGATATCCCCTTTATCACTTTTATTGTGTCTATTTGATTCTTCTCTCTTTTCTTCTTTATTAGTCTGGCTAGTGGTCTATCTATTTTGTTAATCTTTTCAGAAAACCAGCTCCTGGTTTCCTTGATTTTTTGAAGGGTTTTTCGTGCCTCTATCTCCTTCAGTTCTGCTATGATTTTAGTTATTTCTTGTCTTCTGCTAGCTTTTGAATTTGTTTGCTCTTGCTTCTCTAGTTCTTTTAATTGTGATGTTAGGGTGTTGATTTTAGATCATTCCCACTTTCTCCTGTGGGCATTTAGTGCTATAAATTTCCCTCTAAACACTGCTTTATCTGTGTCCCAGAGATTCTGGTACATTGTGTCTTTGTTCTCATTGGTTTCAAATAACTTATTTATTTCTGCCTTAATTTCGTTATTTACCCAGTAGCCATTCAGGAGTAGGTTGTTCAGTTTCCATGTAGTTGTGCGGTTTTGAGTGAGTTTCTTAATCTTGAGTTCTACTTTGATTGCAATGTGGTCTGAGAGACTGTTGGTTATGATTTCCGTTTTTTGCATTTGCTGAGGAGAGTTTTACTTCCAATCATGTGGTCAATTTTAGAATAAGTGCTATGAGGTGCTGAGAACAATGTATATTCTGTTGATTTGGGATGGAGAGTTCTGTAGATGTCTATTAGGTCTGCTTGGACATAAACAAATGTAAAAATCATTCCATGCTCATGGATAGGAAGAATCAATATCATAAAAATAACCATACTGCCCAAAGTAATTTACAGTTTCAATGCTGTTTCCATCAAGCTACCATTGACTTTCTTCACAGAATTAGAAAAAACTACTTTAAACCAAAAAAGTGGAACCAAAAAAGAGCCATATAGCCAAGAAAATCCTAAGCAAAAAGAACAAAGCTGGAGACATTATGCTACTTGACTTCAAACTACACTACAAGGCTACAGTAACAAAAACAGCATGGTACTAGTGCCAAAACAGATATATTGACCAATGGAACAAAACAGAGGCCTCAGAAATAACACCACACATCTACAACCATCTGATCTTTGACAAACCTGACAAAAGCAAGAAATGGGGAAAGGATTCCCTATTTAATAAATGGTGTTGGGAAAACTGGCTAGCCATATGCAGAAAACTGAAACTGGACCCCTTCCTTACACCTTATACAAAAATTAACTCAAAATGGATTAAAGATTTAAACATAAGACCTAAGACCATAAAAACCTTAGAAGAAAATCTAGGCGATACCATTCAGGACATAGGCATGAGCAAAGACTTCATGACTAAAACACCAAAAGCAATGGCAACAAAAGCCAAAATTGACAAATGGGATCTAATTAAACTAAAGAGCTTCTGCACAGCAAAAGAAACTATCATCAGAGTGAAGAGGCAACCTATAGAATGGGAGAAAATTTTTGCAATCTATTCATCTGACAAAGGGCTTATATCCAGAATCTACAAGGAACTTAAACAAATTTACAAGAGAAAAACAAACAACTCCATCAAAAAGTGGGTGAAGGATATGAACAGACACTTCTCAAAGGAAGACATTTATGCAGCCAACAAACATATGAAAAGAAGCTCATCATCACTGGCCATCAGAGAAATGCAAAGAAAAACCACAATGAGATAGCATCTCATGCCAGTTAGAATGGTGATCATTAAAAAGTTGGGAAACAACAGATGCTGGAGAGGATGTGGAGAAATAGGAATGCTTTTATACTGTTGGTAGGAGTATAAATTAGTTCAACCATTGTGGAAGACAGTGTGGCGATTCCTCAAGGATCTAGAACTACAAATACAATTTTACCCAGCAATCCCATTACTGGGTATATATCCAAAGGATTATAAATCACTCTACTATAAAGACACATGCACATGTATGTTTAGTGTGGCACTATTCATAATAGCAAAGACTTGGAACCAACTCAAATGCCCATCAATGATAGACTGGATAAAGAAAATGTGGCACATATACACCATGGAATACTATGCAGCCATAAAAAAGGATGAGCTCATGTCCTTTGCAGGGACATGGATGAAGCTGGAAACCATCATTCTCAGCAAACTAACACAGGAACAGAAAACCAAACACCTCATATTCTCACTCATAGGTGGGAGTTGAACAATAAGAACACACATGGACACTGGGAGGGGAACATCACACACCAGGGCCTGTCAGATGGTAGAGGGCTGTGGAGGGATAGCATTAGAAGAAATACCTAATGTAGATGACGGGTTGATGGGTGCAGCAAACCACCATGGCACATGTATACCTATGTAACAAACCTGTACATTCTGCACATGTATCCCAGAACTTAAAGTATCATAATAATAATAAAAAAATCAAGTTTCAGATGGAGAAAGACACAGTCAGCAGTTAACACAATGAGTTAACAATTAAGCTGATCTCAGGGTTTCAGAGTTTCATTTTCTCCTGGGCAGCATGTACATGATCAAGAAATCTATTGGTAGACCAGGAGACTGTCTTTCTGGCATAAATTAAGAAATTTATTCTTCTCCCATCACAGACTATTGCCTAAAATGTCCCCATAAATTTCTGAGTGATAACAGAAAAGAAAAGGTGATGGTCCTATATATTTCTGATTGCATACATTTTAGATTCTTAGATTTTTTTTTAGATATTAAACTTTTGAAACAGGCAGAGAAGCATAAACACCTTTGGAAGCTGAGGAGCTGGGGTAAGTAGGATCGGAGACATAAGAAGCTCAGTGCTATGATCTGAATGTGTTCCCCAAAAGTCATACATTAGAACTTAAGCCCCAATATGATAGTATTAAGAGGTAGAGGCTTAGAAGGTGATTAAGTCATGAGGGCAGAGCATTCACGAAAGAGATTAGAGACCTTATAAAAGGACTGGAGGGAACTAGCCAGGCCCTCTGCCCTCTGCCTTCTACCACATGAGGATGTAGAAACAAGGCATCATCTTGGATGCAGAGATGTGGCCCTCAGCAGACACGGAATGCGTGGATACCTTGATCTTGGGCTTCCAGACTTAAGAATTTTGAGAAACAAATTTTCTGTTTTTTATAAAGTATTTAATCTTAAGTATTTTGTTGTACCAGCAGGAACAGAGAAAGACACTTAGAAAAAAAAAAAAGATTGGCAAACACTAGAAACAGGTTTACCTACTTCACAATTGACAATGGGGAAGGTAGCTTTCTATGTGCATGTAAATCCCAGCTGGCTTCACAGTGACCCTCTGTGAAGATGGAAAACAGAGCTATTTGTCTGTACTTAGTCCAGATGGATGGAAGTCTGTGGATAAACATCCAACCATTCCTAAAGAGAGGCAGAAAAATGTGTTGGCAGGAACTTAGTGTCTGGAGACAAGGACCCACAATTTGGCTTTACTACTTAACAGTTTCTCAATTTTGGCATGTGAGTGTGTATCATTTTAGTTTAATTTTCTAATAATAAATCTTCTGCAATCTTTGATCAGTAGAAAGCCAGTGACTACTTTCTAGGTAATTGCTTTCTTTAGTAATAAACATAATAAATGCCATTGATTTTTCTGTTTACAACTGTAGCTTTATTCTATAAGATTTTATATGTAGCACTGTCATTATTAATTTCTAAACGGAATGTAATTGTGGTTTTGATGTATTCTCTTGCCAAGTGTTATTTGGAAGAGTTGGTTTTGTTTGGGTATGGTTTATCAATCTTGGACACTGGAATTTTGGGTTAACTTCTGTTACTGTTTCTCGTTTTATTTCATTGTGACCAGAGGGTTTGACTTATACAAATTATATTTTTTCCCACTTAGGAGCTCTTGAGTGTTAAAATTGTTCCTTATTCAATGAAGAGGAGGAGGAGCTATATTCTTCTTCTGGATCTCTTGGAAACTGGTCCAGAATTAGTGAGTGAAAAGTAATGCTCAGAATTTACCATTACAAATGGGAATGTGCCACAAACATCTTAACCCTACCAACATTTCCTTGAGCCATTTGCTTTGGGTTGTAGACTAGAAGGCTGTTAAAATGGAAGAAGGATTTCTACAGAATAAAATAACTGGACTTATTTTTTAAAAACTTGCCTGACAGCAAAATTCCTTTAGCAATGAAAATGCTAGATGCTTTATAAATTCTGATTATTTAAAACTTTAAACATCTGTGTAGAACCATGCCAATAATGTCACATGTTGATGTGACTGCACTATATTCACATTCTTTTGTTTATGAAACACTAAAATAATTTATGATTTTTTTCAGCATTGCTCCCTCTTTGTCGTTTCTGTTTATTTTTTTAACCTCCCATAGATTTTTGGTTTTTTTCTATAGATTTTGGGGGAACAGGTGGTGTTTGGCTACATGGGTAATTTCTTTAGGGGCAATTTCTGGGATTTTTGTGCACCCATCTCCCAAGCAGTGTACACTGTACCCAATGTGTAGTCTTTTATCCTTCACCCCCCTTCCACACTTCCCCCCATGGTCCCAAAGTCTGTTGTCTCATTCTTATGCCTTTGCATCGTCATATCTTAGCTCCCACTTATAAGTGAGATCATATGATGTTTGATTTTCCATTCCTGGGTTGCTTCACATAGAATAATGGTCTCCAAGTCCATCCAGGTTGCTGTAAATGCTATTATTTCGTTCCTTGTTATGGCTGAGTAGTATTCCATTTTCTTTTTCCACTCATTGATTGATGGGCATTTGGGCTGGTTCCATATTTTTGCAATTGCAAATTGTGGTGCATAAACATGTGTGTACAAGTGTCTTTTTCATATAATGACTTCTTTTTCTCTGGGTAGATATCCAGGAGTGGGATTGCTGGATCAAATGGTAGATCCACTTTTAGTTTTTTAAGGAATCTCCATACTGTTTTCCATAGTAGTTGTACTAGTTTACCTTCCCACCAGCAGTGTAAAAGTGTTCCCTTTTCACTACATCCACACCAACATCTATTATTTTTTGATTTTTTGATTATGGCCATTGTTGCAGGAGTAAGATGGTATCACATTGTGGTTTTAATTTGCATTTCCCTGATCATTAGTGATGTTGAGCATTTTTTCGTATGTTTGTTGGACATTTGTATACCTCCTTTTGCAAATTGTCTACTCATGTCCTGAGCCCACTTTTTGATGGGATTATTCATTTTTTTCTTGCTCATTTGTTTGAGTTCCTTGTAGACCCTGGGTATTAGTCCTTTGTTGGATACATAGTCTGTGAAGATTTTCTCCCTCTCTGAGGTTTGTCTATTTACTCTGCTGATGATTACTTTTGCTGTGCAGAGCTTTTTAGTTTAATTAAGTCCCATCTATTTATCTTTCTTTTTGTTATATTTGTTTTTTGGTTCTTGATCATGAAGTCTTTGCCTAAGCCAATGTCTAGAAGGGTTTTTCTGATGTTATCTTCTAGAATTTTTATGGTTTCAGGTCTAGGATTTAAGTCATTGATCCATCTTGAGTTTTTGTTTGTTTGTATAAGGTGAGAGATGAGGTTCTAGTTTCCTTCTTCTACATGCAGCTAGCCAATTATCCCAGCACCATTTGTTGAATAGGGTGTCCTTTTCCCCACTTTATGTTTTTGTTTGCTTTGTTAAAGATCAGTTGGCTGTAAGTATTTGGCTTTATTTCTGAATTCTCTGTTCTGTTCCATTGATCTATATGCCTATTTTTATACCAATACCATGCTATTTTCGTGACTATAGCCTTATAGTATATTTTGAAAATGGGTAATGTAATGCCTCCAGATTTATTCTTTTTGCTTAGACTTGCTTTGGCTATGCAGGCTCTTTTTGGGTTCCATCTCAATTTTATGATTTTTTTTTCTAGTTCTGTGAAGAATGATGATGGTAGTTTTATAATTCATTGATTGCTTTTGGCAGTATGGTCATTTTGACAATATTGATTCTACCCATCCATGAGCATGGGATGTGTTTCCATTTGTTTGTGTCTATGATTCCTTTCAGAAGTGTTTTATCATTGTCCTTGTAAAGATCTTTCACCACTTTGGTCACTTATATTCCTAAGTTTCTTTTTTTGCAGCTATTGTAAAAGCGGTTGAGTTCTTGATTTGATTCTCAGCTTGGATGTTGTTGGTGTATAGCCAACTACTGATTTGTGTACATTGATTTTGTATCCTGAAACTTTACTGAATTTGTTTGTCATATCTAGGAGCTTTTTGGATAGGTCTTTAGGGTTTTCTAGGTATACAATCATATCATTGGCAAACAGCAACAGTTTTACTTCCTCTTTACTGATTGGGATGCCCTTTATTTCCTTCTCTTGTAGGATTGCTCTGGCTAGGACTTCCAGTACTATGTTGAATAGAAGTGGTGAAAGTGGGCATCCTTTTCTTGTTCCAATTCTCAGGGGGAATGCTTTCAACTTTTCCCTGTTCAGTATAATGTTGGCTGTGGGTCTGTCATAGATGGTTTTAATTACCTTAAGGTATGTGCCTTCTATGCCAATTTTGCTTAGGGTTTTAATCATAAAGGGATGCTGCATTTTGTCAACCGCTTTTTCTGCTTCTATTGAGATGATCATGTGATTTTTTGTTTTTAATCCTGTTTATTTGATATATCACATTTGACTTGCATATGTTAAGCCATGCCTGCATCCTTGGTATGAAACCCATATGATTATGGTGGATTATCTTTCTGATATGCTGTTGGATTCAGTTAGCTAGCATTTTGTTGAGGATTTTTTACATCAGGGATATTGGTCTATAGTTTTCTTTTTTGTTGTTATGTTCTTTCCTGGTTTTGATATTAAGGTGATATGGCATCACAGAATGAGTTAGGGAGGATTCCCTCTTTCTCTGTCTCTTGTAATAGTTTCAATAGGATTGGTACCAGCTCTTCTTTGAATGTCTGATAGAATTCAGCTGTGAATCTGTCTTGTCCTGGACTTTTTTTGTTAGCAGGTTTTTATTACCATTTCAATCTTGCTGCTTGTTATTCGTCTGTTCAGAGTTTCTATTTCTTCCTGGTTTAATCTAGGAAGGTTGTATATTTCCAGGAATGTATCCATCTCCTCTAGGTTTTCTAGTTTATGCATGTAAAGGTGTTCATAGTAGCCTTCAATGATCTTTTGTATTTCTGTGGTATCTGTTGTAATATCTCTTGTTTCATTTCAAATTGAGCTTATTTGGATCTTCTCTCTTCTTTTCTTGGTTAATCTTGCTAATGGTCTATCAATTTTATTCATCTTTTCAAAGAACCAGCTTTTTGTTTCATTTATCTTCTGTATTCTTTTTTGGTTCAATTTCACTTAGTTCTGCTCTGATCTTTGTTACTTCTTTTCTTCTGCTGGGTTTGGGTTTGGTTTGTTCTTGTTTGGTTTGTTCTTGTTTCTCTTGTTCCTTGAAGTGTAACCTTAGATTGTCTATTTGTGCTCTTTCAGCCTTTTTGACATAGGCATTTAATGCTATAAACTTTCCTTTTAGTACTGCTTTTGCTGTATCCCAGAGATTTTGATAGGCTCTGTCACTATTATCGTCCAGTTCGAAGAACTTTTTAATTTCCATCTTGATTTCATTTTTGACCCAAAGATCATTCAGAAACAGGTTACTTATTATAATTTCCATGTATTTGTATAGTTTTAAGGGTTCCTTTTGGAGTTGGTTTCAATTTTATTCCACTGTGGTCTCAGAGAGTACTTGATGTTTTTCTTAAATGTATTGAGACTTGTTTTGTGGCCCGTTATATGGTCTGTCTTGTAGAATGTTCCATGTGCTGATGAAAAAAATGTATATTCTGCAGTTGTTAGGTAGAATGTTCTGTAAATATCTGTTAAGTCTATTTGTTCTAGGTATAATTTAAGTTCATTGTTCCCGGGTTGACTTTCTGTCTTGATAACCAGTCTAGTGCTGTCAGTAGAGTATTGAAGTCCACCACTATTATTGTGTTGCTGTCTCTATCATTTCTTAGGTCTATTAGTAATTGTTTTATAAATTTGGGTGTTCCAGTGTTGGGTGAATATATATATATATTTAGGATTGTGATATTTTCCTGTTGGACTAGACTTTATCATTATATAATGTCCCTTTTTGTCTTTTGAGCTGTTGTTGCTTTAAAATCTGTTTTGTCTGATAATAGCTACTCCTGCTCACTTTTGGTGTCCTTTTGCATGGAATATCTTTTTTCACTCCTTTACCTGAAGTTTATGTGAGTCCTTAAGTGTTACATGAGCTTCTTAAAGACAGAAGATACTTGGTTGGTGAATTCTTATCCATTCTGCCATTCTGTATCTTTTAAATGAAACATTTAGGCCATTTCATTGTGTTATTGTTTTGTAGGCCCTGTGAGATTTATGCTCAAAGAAGGTTCTATTTTGGTGTATTTTGAGGTTTTCTTTTAAGATTTAGAACTCCTTTTAGCAGTTCTTGTAGTGCTGGCTTGGTAGTGGCAAACTTTCTCAGCATTTATTTGTCTGGAAGAGACTGTATCTTTCCTTCATTTATGAAGCTTAGTTTCTCTGGATACAAAATTTTTGGCTGATAATTGTTTTGTTTAAAAATACTAAAGATAGGACCCTGATCCCTTCTAACTTCTAGGGTTTCCACTGAGAAGTCCACTATTTATCTAATAGGTTGTCCTTTATAGGTTACCCAACACTTTTACTTCACAGCTCTTAAGATTCTTTCCTTCACTTTGACTTTAGATAATCTGATGACTATGTGCCCAGGTGATCATCTTTTTGCAATGAATTTCCTGGGTGTTCTTTGAACTTCTTGTATTTAGATGTCTAGGTCTCTAGAAAGACCAGGGAAATTTTCCTCAATTATTCCCTCAAGTAAGTTTTCCAAACTTTTAGATTTCTCTTCTTTCTCACAAACACCAGTAGTTCTTAGATTTGATCATTTACCATAATCCCAAACTTCTTGGAGGGTTTGTTCATTTTTTTATTCTTTTTTCTTTGTCTTTGTCAGATTGGATTAATTTGAAAGCCTTGTCTTTGAGCTCTGAAGTTCTCCCTTCTACTTGTTCAATTCTATTGTTTAGACTTTTCAGTGTATTTTGCATTTCTCTAAGTGTGTCTTTCATTTCCAGAAGTTTTGGTTGTTTTTTGTTTATGCTATCTACTTCTCTGGTGATTTTTTCATCCATACCGTGTATCATTTTTTAAATTTCTTTTTTTTTCACATGCATGTCATTATTTTTATTTTATTTTATTTTATTATTATACTTTAAGTTTTAGGGTACATGTGCATAATGTGCAGGTTAGTTACATATGTATACATGTGCCATGCTGGTGCGCTGCACCCACTAACTCGTCATCTAGCATTAGGTATATCTCCCAATGCTATCCCTCCCCCTCCCCCCACTCCAAAACAGGCCCCAGAGTGTGATGTTCCCTTTCCTGTGTCCATGTGTTGTCACTGTTCAATTCCCACCTATGAGTGAGACTATGCGGTGTTTGGTTTTTTGTTCTTGCGATAGTTTACTGAGAATGATGATTTCCAATTTCATCCATGTCCCTAAAAAGGACATGAACTCATCATTTTTTATGGCTGCATAGTATTCCATGGTGTATATGTGCCACATTTTCTTAATCCAGTCTATCCTTGTTGGACATTTGGGTTGGTTCCAAGTCTGCTATTGTGAATAATGCCGCAATAAACATACGTGTGCATGTGTCTTTATAGCAGCATGATTTATAGTCCTTTGGGTATATACCCAGTAACAGGATGGCTGGGTCAAACGGTATTTCTAGTTCTAGATCCCTGAGGGATCGCCACACTGACTTCCACAATGGTTGAACTAGTTTACAGTCCCACCAACAGTGTAAAAGTGTTCCTATTTCTCCACATCCTCTCCAGCACCTGTTGTTTCCTGACTTTTTAATGATTGCCATTCTAACTGGTGTGAGATGGTATCTCATTGTGGTTTTGATTTGCATTTCTCTGATGGCCAGTGATGGTGAGCATTTTTTCATGTGTTTTATCATTCTTATACACCAACAACAGACAAACAGAGAGCCAAATCATGAGTGAACTCCCATTCACAATTGCTTCAAAGAGAATAAAATACCTAGGAATCCAACTTACAAGGGATGTGAAGGACCTCTTCAAGGAGAACCACAAACCACTGCTCAAGGAAATAAAAGAAGATACAAACAAATGGAAGAACATTCCATGCTTATGGGTAGGAAGAATCAATATCGTGAAAATGGCCATATTGCCCAAGGTAATTTACAGATTCAATGCCATCCCCATCAAGCTACCAATGACTTTCTTCACAGAATTGGAAAAAACTACTTTAAAGTTCATATGGAACCAAAAAAGAGCCCGCATCGCCAAGTCAATCCTAAGTCAAAAGAACAAAGTTGGAGGCATCACACTACCTGACTTCAAACTATACTACAAGGCTACAGTAACCAAAACAGCATGGTACTGGTACCAAAACAGAGATATAGATCAATGGAACAGAACAGAGCCCTCAGGAATAACGCCACATATCTACAACTATCTGATCCTTGACAAACCTGAGAAAAACAAGCAATGGGGAAAGGATTCCCTATTTAATAAATGGTGCTGGGAAAACTGGCTAGCCATATGTAGAAAGCTGAAACTGGATCCCTTCCTTACACTTCATACAAAAATCAATTCAAGATGGATTAAAGACTTAAACGTTAGACCTAAAACCATAAAAACCCTAGAAGAAAACCTAGGCTTTACCATTCTGAACATAGGCATGGGCAAGGACTTCATGTCTAAAACACCAAAAGCAATGGCAACAAAAGCCAAAATTGACAAATGGGATCTAATTAAACTAAAGAGCTTCTGCACAGCAAAAGAAACTACCATCAGAGTGAACAGGCAACCTACAAAATGGGAGAAAATTTTTGCAACCTACTTATCTGACAAAGGGCTAATATCCAGAATCTACAATGAACTCAAACAAATTTACAAGAAGAAAACAAACAACCCCATCAAAAAGTGGGTGAAGGACATGAACAGACACTTCTTAAAAGTTCTTTAAGTTGGTTTTAACCTTGCTCTGTTGCCTCCATGAGTAGCTTAATAATCAACCTTCTGGATTCTTTTTCTGGCAGTTCAGAGATTTATTCTTTGTTTGGATTCATTGCTGGTGAGCTAGTGTGATCTTCTGGGGGATGTTAAAGAACCATGCTTTGTCATATTACTAGAATTATTTTTCTGGTTCCTTCTCGTTTTTGTAGACTATATTAGAGGAAATATCTGGGGCTCAGGGGCGGTTTTTCAGATTCTTTTGTGCCATTGGGTTATCCCTTGATGTGGTGTTCTCCCCATTTCCCTATGGGTGGGGCTTCCTGAGAACTAGACTTCAGTGATTGTTATTTCTCTTCTAGGTCTAGCCACCCAGCAAAACTACTGGACTTCAGACTGGTACTGGGGAATGTCTGCAAAGAGTCCTGTGATATGATCTGTGTTCATGTCTCTCAGCTTTGGATACCAGCACCTGCTCTGGTGGAGGCTGTAGGAGAGTGAAGTGGACTCTGTGAGGGTCCTTGGTTGTAATTGTGTTTAGTATGCTGGTTTTCTCAAATGCTGGTTGGGCTAGCAGTTGGTTTCCCTACAGCCAGGTGGTGGCACTTTCAAGAGAGCATCAGCTGATACAAGCTTGCCCTAAGGTCGCCTGGATAAACATTCAGGTTTCCCACACAATAGGCAGGGCCATAGAGCTCCCAAGAGATTATGTATTTTGTTTTCGGCTACCACAGTGGGTAGAGTAACACCATCAGGTAGGGGTAGGAGTAGGTGTAGCTGAGCTCAGACCCTCCTTGGGTGGGGCTTGCTGCAGCTGAGTGTTTTTGGCTGTCTCATGGAGTTTGCAGTGGCAAGCCACTTCTTTCAAAAGGTCTGTGAATTCTTTTGGTTTTCCTGGTATGTTCCTGCAGTAGTTCTTAGAGCAAAAGTTCATGAAGTGAGCCTCCACACACTGTTCTGTCCATCCAACTAGGAGCTGCAAGTTAGTCCTACCTCCTATCTGCCATTTTTCTCTCTTTCTTTTTTTTTGAGACGGAGTCTCGCACTGTCGCCCAGGCTGGAGTGCAGTGGCGGGATCTCGGCTCACTGCAAGCTCCGCCTCCCGGGTTCACGCCATTCTCCTGCCTCAGCCTCCCAAGTAGCTGGGACTACAGGCGCCCGCCACTACGCCCGGCTAATTTTTTGTATTTTTAGTAGAGACAGGGTTTCACTGTTTTAGCCGGGATGGTCTCGATCTCCTGACCTCGTGATCCGCCCGCCTCGGCCTCCCAAAGTGCTGGGATTACAGGCGTGAGCCACCGCGCCCGGCTCTCTTTCTTTTTTATTAGATTTTCTTTTTCTCTTTCATAGTTTATTTGATGCTGAATACCCTGTCCTCCATCCTGCCTTTTTCAAATAACTTCTGAAGCAGCATCTCTCAAAACCGAGCAACTTCCTCACAGGCTTCTCTAGCTACATATTTATGTGGGCCACCTTTCATCTGAGCAGCTCAGGCTGTCTCAAAGACGTAAACTCATGGCTGTTCTGGGACACATTCAGTAAGTCATAATTACACCCACTCTGAACGGAGAACTGCTCAGAATGCCAATGACTAATGGAAACTTACCCAAGAAACTGGACAAACTTGGATTGAAATTCAGAGTCTCTAACCTCAATGGCCCAGACTTCTGCATTAGACATTACAATGTTCTTTACTATGGCTTTCAGTCATCTTTTCCTTTAAGTTTACAATCATCAATTTTCAAGATGGCAGAAGTCATAATCCTTAATCTTTGTTATTTAAAAAAAGAAGGAAAGGAAGAAAGAAAGACAGAGCTCCAGAAAAGGTAAGTGGTGTAGCCAAGTAACAAGAGCTTGAAGCAGAGTAGGACTAAAATCCTAGTGTCTGACCCTGGTCCAGGGTTTCTCTGCTATTGCTGTTGGGTGTGTAATTTGCTTCATGTGCCCATGCTCTTTTTTGTGTATTTTTTTAACCATCCTCCTCTTTTTTTCTCTCATTCTTTTCTCTCGTACTCTGTCAAACTGTTCTACACAGGAATATGTTTCTTTTATTTTGCATCTACAGCATATAATGCAATGTAAATTCAAACTAATTATATGCAAAGGCCATCCTAAATTACCAAAAAGATGTGGTAGAATCGCTTTAAAGAAATTCAGTTTTGCTCTGCTTAGACCCATAGGTAATTCAAAGTAGACTTTCAAAATGCTCCCTAAGAGAGAGAGAGCTTTGATATAAGGTCTTAGAGATGACCACATTTTAACCACAAACCATAAGTATGGCTAAAATGCTAGGTCTGCATTTCTAATAATATTGTGACTCACATGCATAGTAATGACAACATTACTGTTTCATTTTACAGTTAACAAAATGCCTTCCATACTTTATGCCATTTGAATCTCAAGCTCCCATATCAAGAGAGGAAAAGGCATCATTAATCCTATTTTACATACATACAAACTAAATGTCCATGAGGATAAATGATTTGTTAAAAACTAGACAACCAACAGCACAAAGAAATGATAAATATTTGAGGTGATGGACATCCCAATTATCCTGATTTGACCATTACACATTGTATACATTTATCAAATTACTACATGCATCCCATAAAAATGTGCAACTATTTTGAATCAATTTAGAAAAACAGACTACCAAGGAACGGGGCAGGACCAGGACCTGAGCCAGATCTGTTGCCTCTAAACCCTCATTTTTTAGCAAACCACTCGTGTTCCAACTCCAGCCCCTCTCACAGTCCACTGGCATACATTTCTCTGCAAACTGGATGCTCTTTGGGTACAAAGTAAGTCTTATTTACTCCTGTGTTCTACACAGCTCCACACAGAGACTGTGCTCAATGAATGTTCCTTGTACTGAATAAAATGGCACTGAATAATTGTATTAAATGGTACTAAAATATCCCTCTGGCCATCTTTTGGGTTAACATTGCCTCATTTTTACAAAATTTCTGAATTCACGGAGCTGAGGAATTAAGTTCTTCATATAAGGCCAAGGTCCTCAAGGAAGAAGGCTCCTTGGCTCTGGGTCTGCAGGGGGCTTCTGGAGCCTGGCATGGCTAGAACTTTCTTTCTACCCAAGTCTTCTTATCCTCTAAGGCTTAACCAAGATCCACCTCCTTCAGGGAGACCTCTCTAATGTACTCTTCCTCTCTTTCTCCTCCTGAATTCTTTCTCATTCGCATATCTCACTCTGAGTAGTGAACACTCACAACTTTAATTAAAACTTACTTTATTTTTCTCCTCAAATTCCATGGAAACCAATTTTTATCCTTCTGCCTCTTTTCAGCATAATCCAGAGCAACATTTCATGCTTAGTAGGTGCCCGATAAACACTGATTAATTCACATTAACTTGCCCAGGATTAGGGTTCTGAGTTCAATCTAGCCAGATGCTGAAGCGACTCTACTTCGAGCCTTACCCCAGAATCTCACACCTGCTTGGCACAACCCGGAGTATACCCTCTACTTTGCTAAATAGAGAACCAAACACAAAGGACCAACGTTCCATCTCTGGGCTGCTGCTCCTTTTGATCCTTGGGCTATATGTAATAGAAGTTCCTATTTTCTGCTACCCTGTGCAGTTTCTAAACCTCAGCCAACTATAACTTAGTTCTGTTCCCAGCGTAGCAAGAGTCCCTATTTCCACTGCACCTGTGCACTGAGTTCCCTGAAACCCAGACAGCCCCCGTGCGGCACACTCATGCAAATGGTTAGGGAAATGACAGGAACTCACAGTACTCCCAGGTTCTTTAAATGGTTCTGCTGCAATGCAGCACTCAGCTTGCTCACTCTAGGAAATGATGGCTCAGCAATTGGTGGTGTGGAAGGAATGGCTGAGAGGCTGCAGAGAGCAGACAGAATACCTGTAACAGAGTCATGCGGCTCACTGCCTTGGGCTCTGAATGATGAGGCACTGAAAATGCTTATCACAGAAAGAGTAGGGGGCAGTGCTTAACAAAAACAACAGGATACAGCTTGCTAAAAATTTTCTGAGCCATTTCTACAGCGGCTTTTGTCTGGTGGAACCTTATTTTGTTTACTCCCTAGGCCCTGTTCTCCCTAGAAATGAAACCACACATCCCTTCTGACATAGCTGAGCTATATCTGAAGCTCCCAAGAGAAATGGACCCCAGGAAAACAGAGCTGGCACTTAGCTACAAGAGGCCACTTAATAAACTACCTCTAAAAGCCCTCCCCTCCCCTTCCCCAATGCGCATCCCAAGTCTTTTCCTACTTCAAGGTACCTTAGGCCTTCCTCCTCCTCCAAAATATAACTTGTTTCCATGAGAGGATGTCCATAATTGTCGGTTACGGTCCCAAATGGCCCACATTTTCCTGGCCCTGCCCCACACCGTTAAGAAGATGATTATGTCAAGCCTCATCTCTCAGCACAGGATGGAGACCTGTCACCCATGGGAAAGAGACCTCAGGCCTGTGTAGGCAAGCTAGAGTGCAAGTGCATCCAGGTCACGGGTCCTCCCTGCCCACTCTTTAGGTACTGTGACTGTGATCCCATTTACTTGTGATAGGGCAATGAAGGCTCATTCCCTGAGGACAACATAACTCCTGGCTATTTAACAGGTTTTTCTAGAATGTAATTTTTTTCTCCTATAATCATTTCTTGGCCATAAAATAAATTTCTGGTTCTGCAGACATTTATTGGGCACATATAATTACAGACCCGATTTCAATACAGGGAGGTCAGAATGAGTGTTCATCATAATGCAGAACTAAAATGACAATTTGAGGTGTGCCAAAGCTTACAAGCAAGGGAGTGCCCCCCAGACCACTTGATGAAGTCACAGAGCAGAACCTGAGTGCCAAGGAGCAAAATTCTGAGACCTCTAATTTCAGGCTTAAGTGGCTTATGGCAACCACATCCCTCATTTTTAATTTATACTTAAATAACCTGATACTGCTTTTAGATGAACTGGATACAAGCCTAAGAAGATGCCTGTCTGAAAAAGAGCCAAGTGAGGTCAGAACAGAGCCAGGTTGTAGGCCTAAACTAAGGTGACATGGTTATTAGAACAATTGTAAATTAACTGGGGCAAGGGACATCTTCACTGTGGGCTCAATGCGGCCACCTCATGCTAGCTAACAAGAAACTAACATTTGAGCTAGATCTGCAGGGATGATAGGAGTTCACCAAGCAGAAGAGAGAAATGTATCATGGAATGTTCTAGAAAAAGGACCAAGGATTGACAGTGCACATTGAAAGCTAGGCACAGTGAGGTTGCAACACAGAGGGCACAGGTATCTGCCTTGCTGCACCTTGGAAATGTATTGTTGGTTTGATTAGAAATTACTAAAACAGCCTGTACTTTTCTATTATAGCAAGTCTCATAGTGTGTAATTACATATTTGTAAGATTTGCTCCATTTGTCTCCCTTCACCTCCACACCATTCTAAACCTCCAGAAAGAAATCCCAACTGTTTTGCTCACCATTATACTCTCAGCACCTAACACAGGACTTAGTGCTCAGTAAAGCTCACTAAATATTTGACAAGGAATAAATGAATGAATTAATTATAAATGAAGTGAGACCAGCTCTGTCAGATCACTCATTGCTACATATTAAGAAGGAATGGTTATTTGTTTGTGATTGAGCTAAATTGGGTATCAATTCATATTAAAAGTCCATCAATTGTACACACAGCATCAAGTACATCATATTTGAAAATAACTATTTTATGGATTGGTTTCTCCCCACTTAGCCCCATTTTCCCCTTCTTTAGGGTGAGAATCATATGGAATATATATGCATTTTTAAATTTAGATAAAAGACAGCTTCTTTAAAGTGAGTAATAAATCTCACTAATGTGCACTAAAGGTAATAAAAAGTTGATTATTCAAGGGAATACAGTAAGGATATTGAAGGTCAGTCACTACACGGAATATGTTTTTTCCCAAAATTTTACTAGGTGTATGAATTTAGAAATGCCAAGAGATTTAAATCGATGTTCTCAGTGCATAACCTTAGCGTGCAAGAGAAAAATCTTTTCCCAGAGATGAATCTGTATTAAAGTGGGTTGGCCTGGGGAAATATGAGTAAGTAAAACAAGGCGGACTTCCACTGGCCTCCCTGGCTCTCTACTGTGCCCTTTGAGGTATGGGTCAGGCTCTACCCTGGGTACTTCTTAACTAGACCTAGGCACTGAAAGCCGAGAAGCTTTTTAACTCAGCTTCCTCACCCTCCACACTCAGTCTGTGTAATGTGCTATAGAGGCTAGTCCTCACCAGAGATGTCAGCAGCATTCAGGGATATAACACAGCCTCCTTCTCAGAGACCTCCTCTGACTCCTGAAAGCCTTCTATATCTCTGTATCTCCCAGGGGTATAGAGAAGAATGCCACATGTCTGTTCTGGTCTTTACCTCTCTGGTTCTATTTGACAATCTTTTTTTTAAATTTTTATAGTAGGTGTATATATTTATGGGGTACATGAGATATTTGGACAGACACACAATGTTTAATAAACACGTCAGGGTAAATAGGGTAACCATCATCTCAAGCATTTATACTTTGTGTTACAAACAATTCAATTATACTGTTTTAGTTATTTTTAAATGTGCAATTAAATTATTATTGACTGTAGTCACCCTGTTATGCTATAAAATACTAGATATTATTCATTCTTTCTATGCTTTGTACCCATTAACCATCCCTACCTTTTCCCTCCCACCTGCCTGGCCCTCCCCACCACTACCCTTCCCAGCCTCTGGTAATCCTCTTTCTACTCTCCATCTCCATGGGTTCAAGTGTTTTAATTTTTATCTTCCACAAATAAGTGAGAACATGTGAAGTCTGCCTTTCCATGACTGGTTTATTTCATTTAACGTAATGACCTCCAGTTCCATCCACGTTGTTGCAGATAACAGGATCTTATTGTTTTTGATGGCTGAATAGTACTCCATAGTGTTATATGTGACACATTTTCTTTATCCATCTGTTGATGGGCACATGTTGCTTCCAAATCTTGGCTATTGTAAATAGTGCTGCAATAAAAATGGGAGTGCAGCTATCTCTTCGATATACTGATTTCCTTTCATTTGGGTATATATCTAGCAGTGGTATTGCTGGATCATATGGTAGCTCTATTTTTAGTTTTATGAGGAACCTCCAAACATTCTCCATAGTGGTTGTAGTAATTTACATTCCCACCAACAGTGTACAAGGGTTCTCTTTTCTCCACATCCTCGCTAGCATTTGTTATTGCCTGTCCTTTGGATAAAAGCCATTTTAATTGGGGTGAGATGGTATCTTTTTGTAGTTTTGATTTGAATTTCTCTGATGATGAATGATGTTGAAAACATTTTCATATGCCTGTTTGCCATTTGTGTGTCCCATTTTTGAGAAATGTCTATTCAGATCTTTTGCCCAATTTTTAAAATCAGATTATTAGATATTTTCCTATAGAATTGTTTGAGTTCCTTTTATAGTCTGGTTGTTAGTCCCTTGTCAGATGAGTAGTTTGTAAATATTTTTCCCATTCTGTGGGTTATCTCTTCACTTTGTTGATTATATCCTTTGCTGTGCAGAAGCTTTTTAACTTGATATAATCCCATTTGTCCATTTTTGCTTTGGTTGCCTGTGCTTGTGGGATATTACTCAAGAAATATTTGCCCTGTCCAATGTCCTTGAGAGCTTTCCCACGATTTTCTTGCCATACTTTCATAATTTGAGGTCTTAAATTTCAATCTTTAATCCATTTTGGTTTGATTTTTGTAGACAGTGAGAGATAGGGGTCTAGTTTTATTCTTCTGCATATGGATATCCAGTTTTCCCATCACCATTTATTAAAGAGACTATCCTTTCCACACTGTATATTCTTGGCAACTTTGTTGAAAATGAACTCACTGTAGATGCATGGATTTGTTTCTGGGCTCTCCATTATGTTCCATTGGTCTATGTGTCTGTTTTTAGGCCAGTACCATGTTGTTTTGGTTACCATAGCTCAGTAGTGTAATTTGAAGTTAGGTAATGTGATTCCTCCAGTTTTGTACATTTTGCTCAGGATAGCTTTGACTATTCTGGGTCTTTTGTGATTCCATATAAATTTGGAATTTTTTTTCTATTTCTGGGAAGAATGCCATTGGTTCTACCTGACAAGCTTAATAGCTCCTCTTAACAGTGGCAGCCATGCTAACCAATGGCTAGAGAAATCAGCTATCCAAATTCTCCCATTTTGCAGATGAGGAAATTGAGACAGTCCTGGAGAGGTTAACTGACACACTATGGTCCCAAAGGGAAAGGAGAACTGAGATCCCTCCCCTTGAATTCATACTCCTTTTTTCTCCTCCTACATATTATCTCCCCCCAGTGGTATCCCCTTCTCAACATTTGCTACTTTGACCCTTTCTTGCAGTTTCCACTGTCATCACCTGCTTTGGGGTTTACATTCTTTCTTGTGTTCTCAGTATTTTGCCCATATCATCCCTCCCACTCCCACCAGCAGGCTCTTCTTCTTGCCTATCTAAATGTTATCATCACAAAAAGCCAGCTCAAATCTTTCCCCTGGGAAAATCCTTTCAACACGCTGTGGCCCAGCTTGTCCTTCCTATCTCTAGCCCCTAAAATCTGGATCCTTCTTTGTCACTTTGCATGTTCTTTCTTCACTGCTGATACTGTTATCTTTTGTTAAGGGAAATGCCTCTTTCCCACTCTTGATAAATCCTTCTGTAACAAGGAGCTTAATTATTGATATTCCTTTATGCCTTGTTTGCTTCATCTCAGGGCCAAGTAGGAAAGAATAAACTTATGATTTTAGACTCAGCTCCTCTCTTTTCTTCTTGGACACAAGCTCTTCCACAAACAGTGGTTCTTCTCTGTTCCATGGGGACAGAGGCACCACATGGCTAAGAATATAAGTCTAATTCTGGACTTCAGTGTCAAGCGGCTCACTGAGAACTGTGCTAAGCTGTGTGTACTTCAATTTAGCTTTCATCTACTAAAAATAAAGGTAATCTATTGCCCTATATGCATTCTATTTGGCATATTTCTCAACTGGTCCGGAACTCCGGAGGACGGGGAGTCCCTCTTGATGCCACGGCATTCTGTACGGATATTTAAGTCTTGTTCTATCATTTAATTCACTGCTTTGTGTGCTTTGTCTCTTCAGCTTTTGTGTGAACTCCTCAGGTGTGGGAATGATAGAATATAATTGTTCATATCCCCCAGAGCACTCAGTTCAAAGCTTTGCACATAGCAGGTGCTCAATCCATTTCTATTCAATGAAATATTTGTTGAAAAACTCTGACACCTCCCAGCAATCAAGTAATTTTCCTTAAAGTGTTTTCACCGTAATTCTGCCACCTATAAAGATCTGTAACCAAGGAAACATCTTTCCCATTCTAACTAAAACAGATCCTTTCAGTTTTTAAAATCTTCTTCCCTAAGTACTTATCCTCCTCCTTCATCACTTTTCAGATTCTCTTATTGCCTACTGGAAATAAAAAATGAAATAAAATAAAAAATAAAAACATTAGTAAGGTTTTACAGAAGGAGCAGAGGAGGCATGATGGTTCTGGTCATTTCTCATCCCCCTTGTCATTCATAATCCTTAGGAAGACATACTGCCATTTAGACACAGTGTTACCTAAGGCTGGGAGAGCTGAGAATTGATATTTTTCTACCAGCAGACCCAATGTCTATATTATAGGGCTGAGTGAGCTTCAGACAACCCTGTGGCTTCCCAGTTACAGCATTTCCTATGCTTTTGTCTTGTGCTTCTCTGACCAATCTCCCTGTGATCAAACCCTCTGTGCCCCATCATCCAGAGCCATGCTTCTGCAGTGCCTGGCCCTGAGTGTTATTTATTACCAGCTGAATGCAATTGTTCTCTGCACTGCTTCTTCTAAGAATATACCCCCACTTCCCTACCACAACAATTATCTTAGTGACATATTATCAAACTTCACTTAATTTTGCCAAGCCTTGAGGGTCCATGTGTAGGACCTCTACGCAGCCTCTACTAGGATCTTCCTTTATAAACAGTTTAATTTCCCTAGCTCCCAATTGATCTGAGGTGCTCCCTCCTATTCATCCTCTTTTCTAACCTTAACCAACCTTATGACTTGAGTCTGCCAAAACTAGTGCAGAATCTACCTTGGTAAATTCAAAGAGAAATTCAGAAACAGAACGGTTAAGATGCTCCAGTCTGACCTAATTCCTCCCTCTTTATTTTATAGATGAAGATGCCAAGGCACACGGAAGTTAAGTAAGTTACTAAAGTGAGCTAAAAGCAAACCTGGAACTAAACCTCAAGCCGCCTGACAACCAATTTTATACTCCAATATTTTTAAGCAAACAGAAAACGCAACAACTGATATTGACTTACCGTTATGGTACAAAAAAAGAACTCCCCAAAATGATACAGATTACTCACAAACCAATGCCTCAAATCCAAGTTATTTGCAAATTGGAGATTGATTCTCAGTGGTTCTAATGAGATGGATATTAAACTATAACAAGTAACAAGTCTGAATGTGCTTCTATCGTAAGAGACCAATAATTCAACCTTTTAATCGTAGACAGTTCCAGTAAGAGAAACCCTAGAAGCCTCCAAGGTCTTATATTCCATTAGGAATATAAATAGCAGTTACACAACTTAAAGCAAAAGGATTTCACCATAATACTAAAAGAAAAAATATGCAACAAAATATCATCAAGTCAATTTAATAAAAGTTATTAACTCTGAAAAAAATTCAAATCTCTAAACTTCAATGAAAATGTAACAGATTCATGAAAATAGATAAATTCTGTCTCCACTATAATTAAATAATTTGAATTGATGCAAAGAAAAGTCTGTCACCCTTCAAATGCAAATTTTTTGAAGTATAAGGTTTAAACATTTACCAACATGATGTAAACAAAAATACCCCAAGTTCAAAAATGTACTTATATTAAAAATGCTCCATTTTTTTGCTGTCAGTTTCTCACCATAAACCACAAATTGTGCAAATTAGTTTTAATCAATTCAGCTGTTTTTGTCAGTAAAAGACACTTGAAAAGTCCATGTATTTATTAAAATTCATCTCATAAATTTCACACTGATAGGCAATGTTTCAATTACCAATTGTAACTACCTTCTCTATATTCAAGAGAGATAGACATAGAAAGATATATATTACCCACGAATTTTTGCTCTCAGATTCAAATACAGCCATCTAATTTGTGAAAATAATTGTAATATTCTCCATCTAAGCTCCTTGTCTTCCTGAAATGGTAGATAATGGCGGCCCTGTTGTGCAGTACCTGGGATTGGTGCTTTGTCAGCACTGGGGAAATGGCTTGGCTGAATCACTTGGAGAGTACAGCAATTTGTCAGGTCAATGCTAATCATGCAAAGGGTTCTCTGCACGCCAGCAGAGGCACTTAGCACACAAGTCACCTCAACTTTAAACCAATGAGATATAGTTTCCTACTTGATCCACTCATTGAAGAAGGTGAAGGTAGCCCAGGACCTGATAGAAAATACATTTTTAATGTAGAATATTTTAAATCTTCTACATTTGACTTTGGGTTGTAAGATTTTAACCTTGCCAGTTATTGCTTCTTCAGTAATTATAGATAGAATGCTAACAGTGTCCGACTCTGTTTTGAGTACTTTACTTTGCATTCATATATTTAATCTTCATTTAATCCTCAGATGAGAAAACTGAGTCACAGAGAAGCTGAGCAATTTGCCCAAGACAAGTGGCAGAATTTAAGTTCCAACTAAAGCAGTCTGACTTCAGGCCCCTTGCCCTCAGCCTGCAATGCAACATAGGCTAATCTATAAGGAAAAACACAAAAAACTGCTCAAGGAAAATGGCACTTCAGAACAAGCTCCTCAGAGTCTCAGTACCCTCATAAATGTTTTCCCAACAAAATGTACTCTCTGTTACTCAGTCTTCATATCTGTAAAATGGGGAGAAAAACTATTCTGCTTTCATTTCTAGGAAGCTGTAAGATTCAAAGAACATAATGCATTTCTCTTTGGCAAGTGCAAAACACTAAGAAGAATAGTGTTATTGCCTATTACAGCTGCCTGCCAGATTGATTTTCTTACAGGGGTTATGCCACCTAGTTTGCAGTTATTGATAGATAACATGCATTTTTATCCATTCCCAGAAACAAAGAACACTAAGAATCGTGTGTTTTCACTTGGTGGAGACAAAAGTATGCCTTTACTGTGGTAAGAATGCCAACTGTCGGTTGTCAACTCCCCAGTTCTGTGTCATAATTTAATTCCCAAGAACAACTTACAATCCTGTAAGACATCATGCTGATTTATTCCATTAAACACATTATATTGATAAGATATAGAGCAGCAAGATGCTTCAGAAGAAAAAAAAAACAAAACCACAACCCTGTAATGTTTGCTGGACTCTGCAAGAGAAAGGCAAGGTATTCTACTTCGGCCAATTTACCAAGTGATTCCAAAAGTCAATAGCTCTCAAAGAGGCCCAGGCCAACAGAAGATATAAAACCTAATCTTGCATTCAGTGCAGAAAGCGCTAACATATGCCCTTATGACCCACTATATCCACTGGAGCAAAAGTCCCTTCAGTTTGAGAGCATAACCATACACCCTTTAACAAATCAGCAATATTCTTTTGAGAACTAATTCTGAATGTGCTACTAAGATTGGAGGAAGACTGAACTCATGACCATGAGAACATTAGCCCTCTTCACCCGTGAATTTGCAAACATTTCAAGAGGACATTGGATCGTCACAGAGTGTGAAATTGACACCAAGATTGAGGGGACCACGCTTGCTCACACCGGAGTTACACAGAAAATAATACCTCTATTAAGTGATTTGTTCACTAGATTCCTGTTCATTTTCTAGGCTTGTGTTTTATATTTTTGCCAATTTGTTGCTTAGATAAAACAGCATGAAACTCACTGTTCAGCATTCTGTTGGAACTACAGGGTAACCTCCACTACATGTTACTATAGCTCTCTTTCTCTAAAACTTGAGCTTCCTGTCCTGAAATTGTTCTGTTTTTCTATTTTTTTGCAGCTGCATTGTCTCTTTAAAATCAGCAATGCATGCTCACTGGAGATGAAAACAATGTTACTAAATACTCTGGTAAATTTTAAAAAGCATATACTTTCTTCCTGGAATTAAACTATAAACCAAAACCCCGTTTCATATTATTATTATTATTCCTATGAAGCCTTGTTAAATATAATGCTTTCAAAGCAGGAGCTAATATTAATTACTACTTAATGACTTCAAGTTCAGTTTCACTGCAAAGAACACTTTCTAGAAATTATATCCCCAGCAAGGGAAAATGTTTGAACCCACTGCTATTTGTAGCTAAATAATATAGTGAAACTAAAATTGTTAAGTAACCAACAGGCATCTTAATAATCCGAGTTTTTTACCTCAAGTGGCCAAGGCAAGATGGGTCAAAGTCAGAGTGGTGGTCATGGTCCTGGAAGTGGCAAGAAGGATGACAAGGACAAAAAAAAGAAATATGAACCTTCTGTACCAACTAGAGTGAGGAAAAAGAAGAAGAAAACAAAGGGACCAGATGCAGTCAGCAAACTGCCACTGGTGACACCTCACACTCAGTGCCGGTTAAAATTACTGACATTAGAGAGAATTAAAGACTATCTTCTCATGGAGGAAGAATTCATTAGAAATCAGGAACAGATGAAACCATTAGAAGAAAAGCAAAAGGAGGAAAGATCAAAAGTGGATGATCTGAGGGGGACCCCGATGTCAGTAGGAACCTCGGAAGAGATCATTGATGACAATCATGCCATCATGTCTACATCTGTGGGCTCAGAACACTATGTCAACATTCTTTCATTCATAGACAAGGATCTTCTGGAAACTGGCTGCTCGGTCCTGCTCAACCACAAGGTGCATGCCGTGATGGGGTGCTGATGGATGACACGGATCCCCTGGTCACAGTGATGAAGATGGAAAAGACCCCCCAGGAGACCTATGCCAATATTGGGGGGCTGGACAACCAAATTCAGGAAATAAAGGAAGCTGTGGAGTTTCCTCTCACCCATCCTGAATATTATGAAGAGATGGGTAAAAAGCCTCCTAAGGGGGTCATTCTCTATGGTCCACCTGGCACAGGCAAAACCTTGTTATCCAAAGCAGTAGCAAACCAAACCTCAGCCACTTTCTTGAGAGTGGTTGGCTCTGAACTTATTCAGAAGTACCTAGGTGATGGGCCCAAACTCGTATTCATATGGTAATTGTTTTGAGTTGCTGAAGAGCATGAACTATCCATCATGTTTACTGATGAAATTGGAGCCATTGGGACAAAAAGATATGACTCAAATTCTGGTGGTAAGAGAGAAATTCAGTGAACAATGTTGGAACTGTTGAACCAGTTGAAGGGATTTGATTCTAGGGGAGACATGAAAGTTATTATGGCAACAAACAGAATAGAAACTGTGGATCTAGCACTTATCAGACCAGGCCGCATTGACAGGAAGATCAAGTTCTCCCTGCCTGATGAAAGGACTAAGAAGCGTATCTTTCAGAATCACACAAGCAGGATGACACTGGCCGATGAAGTAACCCTGGACGACTTGATCATGGTTAAAGATGACCTCTCTGGTGCTGACATCAAGGCAATCTGTACAGAAGCTGGTCTGATGGCCTCAA
Source organism: Homo sapiens (assembly GCF_000001405.40). Classification (NCBI taxonomy): domain Eukaryota; kingdom Metazoa; phylum Chordata; class Mammalia; order Primates; family Hominidae; genus Homo; species Homo sapiens. The sequence continues at coordinate 17,386,318 of NC_000002.12, forward strand.
GAGAACGTAGAATGAAAGTAACGAATGAATTCTTCAAAAAATATAAAGAAATGTTCTTTATAAGAAACAGGAAGGCACCCCTGAGGGGCTCTATCTCTAGTGAACCACAGCTGCCATCAGGAAAATGGTTGGGCGATTCCTCGACCCCTGAAAAGGATGAGGTTGGGGGAGTTGCCCAGAGGAATCCCTGTTCCCGTTGATTTTTATTAGCAAAATATCCCATGTCTTTTGGAGTACGATGTGTAAGTGCCCATTGGGTGGCCTTTGTCAGTCACTGTGCAGCAGTCTGTTCCCAATGGAGTGTGCTCTTTAACAAAAATAATAATAATAATCTGGGTTTCTGTCCATTTGTTTGTTTATTTGATTTTTAATATTAGGATGCTTTACTTATTCACTGCCTAACATCAAAGGGAAAATATGACCAACTTAATTCTTGGTGGTGTTATTATTGACATTGCCAATAGCATATAGAATAACTATAAAAAATTCAAGATGTGTAAGCCTAGGTGTGAATCCTGATAACTTCCCCCCTGTATGATGCTGAGAAACTTACTTAACCTCTCTGAGTTTCAGGGATGACTTACGTTTTAAGTGAGATAATGCATTTTAAATACTCGCCACAAAACCAGATACCAGCTGAGCTTTCAACAAACAACACCTGCTGTTATTGTCATCCTCTGTGGTCACTCTGATGGCAAAGCTGTCTTGAGAGATAGCCTAAAATTGTTCATCTTAAACAAGAAAAAGAGCTTAATGTAACAGGAAAAACTAAAACATTATGATGGTGACTAGTATGCATTTGCCCCCTGCTTATTTCCCTAGGGAAATCTAAAAAGTTCTTTTGTAGTTGGTGGTCAATCCTACATAATAAAAATATGGAACTTTACTAGGGAGGCTGAGAGCCTTCCATGAAGGAGAAGGTCTGAGCCACCAAAGCCCAGCAGCCCAAATTACAAGCAAGCCAACTGGTAGGAGAAGAAGCAGGGGAAATTGTGGAATAACACACGCTGTGAAAATCTAACATTCATATAAGGCTGTAGTCTAGAGGAGAGTTACCAGCCTTTTCTATGCTCTTTCTAATCACCTGGCTTGATAGAGAAAACCTTTGCCCCAGTGGATTCTATGAAAAGGTTCAGAGAATGAATGTTCTACCATGGCTGTGTAATGACTTTTTGTCTGGAGACAATGGTTGAAGAACCCAGTCTAAACTAAAATCAAGTCCATTTTCAGGGATGAAACATGGTGAGCTCCAAAAACCTCCAAGTATTTTTCTGGGGAACAAAAGACAGAGTTGGAGATATTCTTTACTGGCTTATGTGTAGACAGATATGCACACTTTCTGCTATTTGTGAAAGCAATGCTATGTGCATCATCCTATGTCTGTGGTGACCCGTGGGTGCAGTATTTTTCTTCTTCCAAGCAAAATAATAAGAGTAACATTTACTAAGCACTTATGATACGCCAGGCACAAAACCCTTTAATGAAACTAGTAGAATTTGATTCTTAGTGAGCTTAGTCATAATACAATGAGCTCTCCAACAGCCTCTGCAGTAATTCTGTTTTTTCCTGTCAGATGTCAATACATGTGAATGCTATCCAAGTTCTCATAGGGCTGGAAGCAGACAGAAAGGATTCTGCAGCTTTACCATCAAACAGTCTTCAGTTTTTAAAACAAATTTCAGATTATTCTTTTTTTAACTAAGAGTTCTCTGATACCACACCAGCAGACTTCCTTCTATTCCACTGCAATCATTACCTTGATTTTCTACCCTTTGATGTGCTGCAGTATTTGTGTCAGCAAGTTCTATGCATTTGAAAGCTCATGAAGGGATTGTCATTTTACACAGTGGAGTTGCTCCTCCTTGCAATACTGACAGCTGACTTGAGTCCTGGCTATAACTAATAACAACTTGGTGGTGGCTTTACATTGTGCATTTCATCTCCAGATTATAAAACACTCTGCAAAAATTTTATTACAGTCTCTCCCCATAGGATGAAAATACTTTAGAAGTATGAGAGGTTAAGTTACATGCCCAATAAACAGTAATGAAAGAAACAAAATTGAAATTAGGTCCTTCTGGGCTTAAGCCATTGCTTCTATTCATGGAGTCACAATGCCTTCCCAAGAAGGAAGACGCATGAAAGCAATATGTGTGGAAGCGCATAGCACAGAACACAGGTGGGAAGAACTGTAGTATTCTACTTTTCTTTGGTCTCTCAAGGTCTGTTGGTGGCTTTGAACCAGATATGTTATTCAAGTGGGACTACTATTATTCTAATTATTGATGAAGGATCTCAACAAAGAATTAGAGAGTTGTTACTACTTCCAAGTTTTGTGGTTTACTTACAAAACAAGCAGTTTGGTCATTCTTGTTTCAAAATCAACAGTAATTAGGGAAATAAATTTATTTTGTGTGTTTGAACTGGACAGAAATTTTAAGACCTGTGTTACTATAGGCCCACTGAAACTGCAATGACTCCAAACTCTCCTTCTTTTTCAATCTCCAGCAACTTGTTCCCAAAGCTGGAGAAGACACTCCTGAGGGCTATTTAGGACAACTTATGACTCAGCTCTTTGAGCAGAAAGAGGCCAAAAAGTTCAGCAGAAAAAGCCCTGAACTCTTGGAAGAGCTGGCTTCAAGCCTGGCTTAGACCTGGCCTTCTGTGGGGCAGGTTTCTTAATCTTCCAATGGGCTGTCTCCTGGAGGTGGGATGAAAGTTCTCTTCTGACTCAGCTCCTAAGGGCTGTTATGCATATTAGATCACCAGAATTAGAATGTATCAAGCTGTTCTAATGAAAGTGAAAGTTACCAGAGATAATTTAAAATATTTGGTGAAGATCAACAGACAAATTTTACTGAGCATGCAGTAGGTTCAATCCACTGGGTACCAAAAAAAAAAAAAAATCAAAGTGTGAAGCATAGTTCCTGCCATTCTGTATCTCAGAGGCTTGCTTTATATAATAGACAAGCACACCCAGAAAAGTAACTGAAAACCAACTTATGTTGTGTAGCATTTGAATGCAGACCTAAATGCTGTAGGAGAAATATGTGGAAGAGAGGACTTAGAAGGTGTAAAAGAGTTTACAAAATTACAGACGAAAAAAAGTTGGGGAGGGAATCAAGAAGGATACTTAAGCAGGACTGAAGAATTGAAAAAACAAGGCTCTTTAGGGGCATTTATAGAAAATATTTCTTGAAGAACATATGGTTAGCACAAGAAAAATGTAGTAAATGAAACAGAAAAGAGAGAGATGGAAGGCCCAGAATGCCATGTTATGATTCAGGCTCCATTCCATATAAACAAACAAAACTTGCTGAGAAAACACAATGAAAAGGAAAACCTCCCATTTGTGATGTAAATAAATAAATAACCTAGGCAAAGCACTTATCAATAAATATCCAAAATCTCCTGAACAAACCACATGAAACATTTCTGAAGGGCACAAAACTAGACTGTATAAATAGAAAGATAATCCATGTTTTGGAGTCGGAAAGCTCAATGCAAGAAAGTTGCCCCTTCCCACTAAGTTAAATTATAAATGCAGTGTGATTTCAGTAAAAAAATATATATATACACACATAAATACATATATACATATATACACACATATACACGTATGTATACACACATGTATACACACATGTATACATGTATACATATACACATATACCTACACATATATACATATATGTATACATGAATACATACATATATACATACATGTATACATGTAGGTATATAGACATATACACATATATACATATAGGTATATATCCACATATACATATACATATATACATACATATATACATAGACATATATACATGCATATATACATACATATGTACATATATGTGTATATATACATATACCATATACCACTTTTTCTGAAGCTCAACAAGTTAATTACAAAGTTTTATATTAAAAATAATAATATAACATGTTTAGTTAGGTATATTCCTTATTTATTTATTTATTTATTTTGCAGCTGTTGTAAAAGAGGTTGAGTTCTTGCTTTGAGTTTCAGCTTGGTCGCTAATGTGGTTTGGCTGTGTCCCCACCCAAATCTCATCTTGAATTGTAGTTCCCATAATCACATGTCCTGGGAGGGAGAGGTGGAAGGTAATTGAATCATGGGGCAGTTACCCCATGCTGTTCTCAGGATAGTGAGTGAGTTCTCATGAGATCTGATGGTTTTATAAAAGGCTTTTCCCCCTTGGCTAGGCACTTCTTCCTGTTGCCTTGTGAAGGTGGCTTTCTTCCCCTTACCCTTCCACCATGATTGTAAGTTTCCTGAGGCTTCTCCAGCCATGCTGAACTGTGAGTCGATTAAACTTCTTTCCTTTATAAATTACCCAGTCTCAGATATTTCTTCCTAGTAGTGTGAGAACAGACTAATACAGTAATCTGTTACTTCAGAGAGTGGGGTACTGCTATAAAGATACCCAAAAATGTGGATGCGACTTTGGAACTGGGTAATAGGCAGAGGTTGGAACAGTTTGAAGGGCTCAGAAGATGGCAGGAAAATGTAGGAAAGTTTGGAACTTCCTAGAGACTGGGAGAGCTCAGAAGACAGGAAGATGTGGGAAAATCTGAACTTCTAGAGACTCGTTGAATGGCTTTAAACAAAATGCTGCTGATAGTGATATGAACAATTAAGTCCAGGCTAAAGTGGCCTCAGATGCAGATTAGAAATTTATTGGGAACTGGAATAAAGGTGACTTTTGCTATGCTTTAGCAAAGAGACTGGTGGCATTTTCCCCCTGCCATAGAGATCTGTGGAACTTTGAACATGAGAGAGATAATTTAGGGTACCTGGAGAGAGGAATTTCTAAGCAGCAAAGTGTTCCAGAGATGACAGAGCATAAAGGCTTGGAAAACTTGCAGCCCAACAATGTGGTAGAAAAGAAAAACCCATTTTCTGGGGAGAAATTCAAGTCAGCTGCAGAAACTTGCATAAGTAACAAGGAGCCAAATGTTAATGACAGAGACCATGGGGAAAATGTCTCCAGGGCATGTCAATGTCTCCAGGGCATGTCAGAGACCTTCCCAGCAGCCCCTCCCATCATAAGTCCAGAGGCCTAGGAGAAATAAAAAATGGTTTCCTGGGCCAGGTCCAGGGCCCTACTACTGTGTGCATGCTTGGGGACTTGGTGCCCTGTATCCCAGCCACTCCAGCTGTGGCTAAAAGGGGCCAAGGTACAGCTTGGGGCATGGCTTCAGAAATGTGCTGCAGGGGCAGGGCTGTCATGGAGAACCTCTGCTAAGGCAGTGAGGAAGGGAAATGTGGAGTTGGAGCACCCACACAGAATCCCCACTGTGGCACTACCTAGAGGAGCTGTGAAAAGAAGGCCACTGTCCTCCAGACCCCAGAATCATAGTTCCACTAACAGCTGGCACCATGTGCTTGGAAAAGCCACAGATACTCAATGCCAGCCATGAAAGCAGCCCAGAGGGGGGTTATACCCTGCCAAGCCACAGGTGCAGAGCTGTCCAAGGCCATGGAAGCCTACCTCTTGCATCAGCATGACCTGGATGTGAGACATGGAGTCAAAAGAGATTATTTTGAAACTTTAAGGTTTAGTGACTGCCATATTGGATTTTGGGCTTGCATTAGGCCTGTACCCCCTTTGATTTGGCCAATTTCTTCCATTTGGAACAGATGTATTTACCCAATGCCTATACTCCCATCATATCTAGGAAGTAACTAACTTGCTTTTGGTTTTACAGGCTCATAGGTAGAAGGGACTTGCCTTGTCTCAGATGAGACTTTGGACTTGGTCTTTGGATTAATGCTGGAATGAGTTTGAGTTAAGATTTTGAGGGACTGTTAGAAGGGCACGATTGTGTTTTTAAATGTGAGGACATGAGATTTGGGAGGGGCCAGAGAAGAGTTATATGGTTTGGTTGAATCCCCACCCAAATCTAATCTTGAATTGTAGTTCCCATAATCCCCATGTGTTATGGGAGGGACCCAGGGGAAGGTAACTGAATCATGGGGGGTGGTCACCCCCATGCTGTTTTCATGATAGTGAGTTCTCATGAGATCTGATTGTTTTATAAGGGGCTTTTTCCCCTTTGCTTGGCACTTCTGTTTCCCACCACCTTGTGAAGAAGATGCCTTGCTTCCTCTTCACCCTCCACCATGATTGTAAGTTTCCTCAGGCATCCCCAGCCATGTGTACTGTGAGTCAATTAAAGCTCTTTCCTTTATAAATTACCCAGTCTTAGGTATTTCTTCATAGCAGCATAAGAGCAAATTAATACAGTCGTTATCGGTGTATAGCAGTGCTACTGACTTGTGCACATCGATTTTGTATCCTGAAACTTTACTGAATTCATTTATGAGATCTAGGAGCCTTTTGGATGAATCTTTAGGGTTTTCTAGGTATATGATCATATCATCAGTGAACAGTGAGAGTTTGAGTTCCTCTTTACCTATTTGTATGCCCTTTATTTCTTTCTCTTGTCTGATTGATCTGGGCAGGACCTCCAGTACTATGTTGAATAGAAGTGGTGAAAGATCTTTACAAGGAAAACTACAAAACCCTGCTGAAAGAAATTATAAATGGCACAAACAAATAAAAATATCCCATGCTCCTGGATGGGTAGAAACAATATTGTGAAAATGATTACACTGCCAAAAGCAATCTATGAATTCAATGCATTTCCCATCAACATACCATTATCACTCTTCACAGAACTAGAAAAAAAATCCTAAAATTCATATGGAACTAAAAAGAGCCTGCATAGCCAAAGCAAGACTAAGAGAAAGAATGGTTCTGCAGGCATCACATTACCCAACTTCAAACTATACTACAAGGCTATAATTACCAAAACAGCATGATACTGGTATAAAAACAGGTACATAGACCAATGGAACAGAATATAGAACCCAGAAATAAGGCCAAATACTTACAGCCGACTGATCTTTGACAAAGCAAAAAAAAACATAAAGTGGGAAAAAGACACCCTATTCAACAAATAGTGGTGAGATAATTTTCAAGCCACATGTAGAAAAATGAAACTGGATCGTCATCTCTCACCTTAAACAAAAGTCAACTCAAAATGGATAAAAAACTTAAATCTAAAACCTGAAACCATAAACATTCAGATGATATCATCAGGAAAACTCTTCTAGACATTGTCCTAGACAAAGAATTCACGTCCAAGAACCCAAAAGCCAATGCAACAAAAATAAAGACAAGTAGATGGGACTTCATTAAACTAAAAAGCTTCCGCACAGCAAAAGTAATAATCAGCAGAGTAAACAGACAACCCTTAGAGTGGGAGAAAATCTTCACAAACTATGCATCTGACAAAGGACTAATATCTAAAATCTACAAGGAACTCAAACAAATCAGCAAGAAAAAGAAAACAAAAAATCCCATCAAAAAGTGGGCTCAGGACATGAATAGACAATTCTCAAAAGGAGATATACAGATGGTCAACAAACATATGAAAAAATGCTTAGCATCACTAATGATCAGGGAAATGCAAATTAAAACCACAATGCAATTCCACCTTAACCCTGCAGAATGGCCATAATCAAAAAATAAAAAAAATAGATGTTGGTGTGGATGTGGTGAAAAGGGAACACTTTTGCAATGCTAACGGGAGTGTAAACTAGTATAACCACTATGCAAAAGAGTATGGAAATTCCTTAAATAAATAAAATTAGAACTATCATTTGATTCAGTAATTCTACTACTGGTGCCTATCAAGTGGAAAAGAAGTCATCATATGAAAAAAACACTTGCACACGCATGTTTATAGAAGCACAATTCACAATTGCAAAAATATGGAACCAGCCTAAATGCCCATCAACTGATGAGTGGATAAAGAAAATGTGATGTATATATACCATAGAATGCTACTCAGCCATAAAAAGGAATGAGATAATGCATTCTTAGCAAGCTGAATGGAGTTGGAGACCATTAATCTAAGTGAGCTAACTCAGAAATGGGCAACCAAACATTATGTGTGCTCACTTATAAGTGGGAGCTAAGATATGAGGGTGCAAAGGCATAAGAACAAGACAATGGACTTTGAGACCTCAGGAGGAAGTGTAAGAGAGGGGTAAGGGATAAAAGACTACACATTGGGTACAGTGTACACCGCTCAAGTGATGGATGCACCAAAAGCTCATAAATCACACCAAAAGAACTTATTCATGTAACCAAACACCACCTGTTCCCCAAAAACTTCTGAAATAATAAGAAGAATTTTAAAATTTTTTAAATAAATAAAAGAATAATAATATATGCGGGAACAGAAAACCAAATACCACATTTTCTCACTTATAAGAGGAAGCTAAATGATAAGAACTTATGAACATAAAGAAGAAAACAACAGACACTGAGGTTTACTTGATGGGGCAGGGTGGAAGGAGGGAAAGGAGCAGAAAAGATAACTGTTGAGTACTGGCCTTAATACCTGGGTGATGAAATAATATGTACACATGTTTACCTACGTAACAAACCTTCACTTTTACCCCCAAACCTAACATAGAGGTAAAAAATAAAATAAATAAAATAAAATAATAATAAGCACTAATAGTCAGAATATCTCAGAAAACACAAGAGCAATAGGATAGGGTAAGAGGTGGCTATCCCTACCAGGTAGTAAAACATAAATCCTCTAAAAGTAAAACCATATGGTATGGGTAAATGGGTTTACAAAGAAATCAATGAAATATAGCTGAATGTCTAGAAATAGAATCAATTGCATATGGAATTCAGTATATTAATAAGCAGCACTGCAAATCAGTGGGGGAAAGAAAAACAGTAAATGATGTTGGAGTAATCTGATATTCACATTATAACAAAAGATAAAACTAGGTTATTTCTCACATCATACACCAGAAAAAAAAAGTGTATTATGAGATATTTAAATGTAAAAATGGAAAACATACAAATACTAGAAGAAAGCATGAGTAAATCCTCTATAATCTGAAAGAGGAAAAACTTAAGAAGCAATAAAGGAACAGATTAATAAACACAAGATATAACAATTTAAAAAATATGGCAAAAATAAATCTTAAATATAATGAAAAAAATGACAAACTGGAAAAAATTTTTGCAACTTATATGACAGAAAAGAGTTGGTATCCCTAAAATAGAAAGATTGTCTAATAGAAGAAAAACTCCAATAACTCTATTGAAAAATGAACAAGAGATATAAATATAGACTTAACAGAAAAAGAAAGGCAGATGGCCCTTTAACATGAAAATATGCTCAACGTCATTCATAATAATAGAGTTGCAGATTAAAACTACAGTTATCATTCTCACCTATCGTACTGTCAAAAATGTAAAAGTTTAATGGTATATTCTGTTGGTAAACCTTTGGGGAAATAAGTCTTTTTTTTTTTTTTTTTTTGATGGAGTCTTGCTCTGTCACCCAGGCTGGAGTGTAGTGGCATGATCTCAGCTCACTGCAGCCTCCACCTCCCAGGTTCCAGCAATTCTCCTGCCTCTGCCTCCCGAGTAGCTGGGATTACAGGCCTGCACCACCACACCTGGCTAATTTTTTTTTGTATTTTTAGTAGTGATGGGGTTTCACCATGTTGGCCAGGCTGGTCTCAAACTCCTGACCTCCAGTGATCAACCCACCTCGGCCTCCCAAAGTGCTGGGATTACAGGTGTGAGCCACCGTGCCGAGCTGGGAAATAAGTCTTATATATTGCTGGTAGAATGTCAAGTGGTACAACTACTAGAGAACAGATTTATGCAACATCTAATAAAATTACATATGCTTTTACCATTTTAATCAGCAATCTCATGTGGAGGATTTTAACTTAATTATTCAATGATCTGCCTCCCCCAAAGAAGATATATTCATAAGGCTATTCATTGTGTTACTATTTCTAATAGCAAAAGAGTGGAAACAACTTAAATGTCTATTCAATAGAAGATTGGTTGAATAAACTATAGTATTAATACATTTATTTACACATTGGAGTACTACCAGCTGTAAGAAGGAGCAAAGATTATCCCCAATACTGTTATGCTATCTGGAATCATGTAAATGTTTTGCAAAACTGTAAATAAAAGTTATTCAAAAAATAAAGTAATTTTAAGAATTGGAAACAAAACAAACTTAATTTTGTATTGAGTGATTGGCTTAATCTCACATAGAAATTATTTCAAGTGACTTGAAAATACAGCCATGTGGCTGTACATCCCTAGGGGGATATATTCTAACAGGAAAAATAATTCCAAAGAAATTTTGATCAGTGTTTGCTATTCATAATTTTGGTGGTAATATCTGTGTTGTTATTCTGAACTGATGTATGTGTATGCAGGATAAGACAAGGGCACAATTATGTTGGTTGTGTTGGGAATAAAATGTTTCCATGGGAGAAGAGAGGTGTGTTGTGTACAATCAGAGAAATTAAGTCAAAATGCTTTAATATGAATTTTAGTTATATAGATGTCTGCATACATTTATGATGTATTTTCTTTTTTAAAATATGCATTTTTTTTACTTCTGCCCACTAAAAAGACCTAGAAATGATGACCAGCTAAATACCAGTGGCACCCTTATTCCCTATACTTTTCTCCATATGACACTTCTTACTGGAGCAAACTATGGTACCTACAAGAAATTCTAGGCCTGGGACAATAAATGTACCATACTTTTCAGTTCTGAAAATCAAAGAAGTTATTGAAGTCTGCTGAAGTTTTATGAAAAGAACTCAAAAGCTAACTTGAAGTGGCTTTTAACTACCAAAGAGAGGACAATTTGAGCATCAAAATCAATGAATACCTTCATGAGAGTTAAAGCTGTCCCATATATGTCTAAATTATTCTGAAAATGAAAATTAAAAACCAGCTCAATGGTCACCTCTGGAGGATGCCAGGAGAACCAAAGCATAATTGAGAAAACTGTGAACTAAATGCAGATAACCAAACATTTGTCCTGCCTTTCTTTATAAACTATCCTTTAGTTTGTAACCAAATAGTTGATTATAGAAAGTTAATCTTTTTAAAAGAATTACATTAATTAATAAACAATACCATTTTGTAGCCTCTAATAAAACAATGGATCAGAGTAATGATTACCAATCCTCCCGAAGCCAATAGATGAAAAGTTTTTGGAGAATTTTATAATGGCCAGATTAATCTTAACATCACACACACACACAAAGAGAGAAACTATCATTGGATTCTGCCTGGAGGAACAAAATATGAGACAACTGTGAAGTACTCTTGTCAAAAATTTGAAGCTAAATCTGATCTCACCTCTAGATCTAAGTATCAGGTTAAGCCATATAAAATTGCCATTTTGACCTACAAATATGAAATTTTATTTGATTCAGCCTAATACCTAAATAGAGGGACAGAAAACCATGTTAAGTTAAATTTCATGTGAAGCAATTGGCAAAATTCAGACTGAACAAATCACCCAATTTCTGCAACAAAAAATGTATAAGAAAATTTAAAAGGAGTGAGAAGAGTACTCATGGGTGAAAAAAGACTCAGTGATGAAATACAGGGGGCCAGTGAAGCAGGTACCTTATTAGAATCCTTGTTCAGACAATCCAGCTGTCAAAAACAAGAGAGAGGGAATTAAGAAAAATTTAAAACTATTTAGCTATTTGATGATAATACAAATTTAGTGTTAATTTTTAGGTGTTTTAATGGCATTGTGGTTATTTTTTAAAGGAGTACTTGTCTTTTTTATGTATGTATTAGAGTATACTACTGATGAATTCAGATAGTTTGGAATTTGCTCTAACAATTTAAGGAATAGGAAATAAAGGAGATAAGAGTATAGATTAACAAGGTTGACAATTAAACTGCTCTCTATGACTTTGTATATTTGTATGACATTTTCCATCATTTAAAAAAACTTGGAGGAAAGAAGATGTAGACTCTAATTATTGGTGAGTCATTGAAAGACTTTTATCAGGGAAGCACAGATTCATCAAATTATTTAAAAACAACACACATGTTCTTGTCTTGCGTTTTTCTATGAGACACATAGGAGCCCAATATAACTACAATTTCTTTGAACTTGACTGTTTGAAGCCCAAAGTAAAGGTATCTCAGAGCGAATGGGTGGCAGCCACATTTGCCTTACAGCTTTTAAAAGACAGAGAGAGAGAAGTGAAAGAAAAAAGTCGACATGCAAGGTCAGATGTTTATGATTTTCTAATGCTCTAACAGATCAGCTAGAACGTTTCACCAGATGAACTGATGTTGTATAACTCAAAGACAGGAAATGTTGTGCAAAGTTTGTGCATCTTGTTTTTGAACAAGACTTAAGTTATTAGAAGTGAACCAATTTAAACTCTGTAAACAGAAAGTTCAAATGGTATAGTAATTTTTCTCTAAAGGAAATAGTTTCATATTTTCAAATACTCTTAGTAATCCAAGAAACATTAACATATGTTCTCTGCAAACTTATTTACGCCATTAATTTTCTTAAGAAAGCTTTTCCAAAAAGGATATAGGGATAAACTTAAAGCTTACTATGTCTTTAAATCTATTTTCTTTACATTTCATATAGGTATCCAAGTATTTTTAAGATCCAATTCCTGCCACCCTTGAAAACACCAGCTTCATGTGCTATTGTTCCCCTGCCACATGTATCTTCATTGTGGTGGATACACCTTAAGGTAGGCCTTAAAAATTTCTGCCCCAGACTTTCAAGCTATTGTGTAATCCCCTCCTCTTAAGTGTAGGCAGGACCTGTGACTTGCTTCTAACCAATATAATGTAGCAAAGGTGATTGGATGTCACTTCTGTGAGTAGATAATACTACATGACAAAGGTCGTGCAATATCATTGCCACGGTTAGGTTATGAAATACATATGACTCTGCCTTTCTAGTGTGCTTTTGTGAACAAATGTGAACCTGAAGGAGCTAATGCTTCACGATAGATCCCAAGTGGCTAACTGGGTCTAAATTCAAACAGAGCCAAGTGGCCATTTGCTGAGTAGAGGTCACAGATGTACTCTGAGTTCTCAGGAAACCCATACCTCTGTTTAACTTTTGAGTTTTCATAACTCACGTGAATCAATCAATCAGAGCTCCCTTGAACCAACCAATCAGAACTCATCTGCTTTGACTAATTAGGGCTCAACTGTGTTAACCAATCAGAACTCAGCTGCATCAACCAATCAGAACCAAACAAGTTTGAGTCCTTCATTTGCATAAATCGACCTGATTGGAAAACTGAATGGGAACTTTCACTCTAAAACTAGCCCTCTCTGTGTTTTCTGGAACAGCATCTTGATTTTACACCAAAGTCAATGTCTGCTTGGTTTACAAACTGTTCACTGAAATAAAGCCTCTTTCATCCAAATTCCTTTTCAGATAACTTTTATTCACACAGAGAGACCTTCCTTCAGGACTTGAAGAAGCAAGTCAAGTTGTTACGATGTGAATGGAGAAGTCCACATGGTAAAGAACCAGAGGCAGCTCCTAGGGTTTTGAGGGCCTTCATCCTATGACCATAAGGAGTTAAATTTTCCTAACATCCACTTGAACTTAGAAGAGGATCCCTAGCTTCAGAAAGGCACACAGTTCAGCTGACACATTACAGCCTTGTGAAATCCTAGGAGAACCCAGATAAGCCATGCCCTGAACTATGAAAACCGTGTAAGAATAAAAGCGTGCTGTTTTTGTGGTTATGTGTTAGGCAGCCGTAGAATATGCTGAGCACATTTTCATGGCCCCCATGACATGTACGACTTAGTCTTTCATTCGGAACGTCTCTCTCTTATTTACCTGCTATATGTTTTGCAAAATACAATGTAGCAAAACATATAGCATCCTTTAAGATTTAGTGTAAACGTATTCTCTGGTAAGTTTCTCCAGTTTTTCCTTCTACCCTATATTCATGCTTCAATCATCAGTCTTTATGTACATGCAATTGCCTTAACATATATCTATCATTGCAAATACCACCTTAAATTATAGTTATTCATGGACTGCATCCCTCACCAGACATTGAGGTTTGCGTGTATTTATTCATTTATTCAACAAACTTTTATTTCTTACTCACAACATACCAGATTGTGTGCAAAGTACTAGAAACACAGGCTTAAGGGGTCTTTTCTCAAAAGGCAGAGACCATATCTTATCCATCTTTATATTTCCTGATGAGTGCTGCATTTGGAACATAAAAAAATGGGGGGGATTATGTTAATTTACTAAAACATCAATTTTTCAAAAGGCAATTTGCCAAATGATCAATTCATCAAAAACTACCAAGCACCTTAAACTGATTTTTCACAGCCATTTCGTTCTGAGAGGAAGAAACAGGGTGTGAACCTAAAAAAAAAAAATAAAAGAAATAAAAGAAATAAAAAGAAAAAAATGAGAAGTGTATGCAAGGAAAAGCCCACCCCTTGAATATGGAAACATATTTGTGTTCTAAAACATGAATTTCATAAAAAATTGAAACTCAGCCAAGTAGAACTAGGGAAATTTTTGACTCTAGCAAACTAAGCAAATTGGTCACTTGGTAAATTAGTTGCAGTAAATTGGTCTGATTTTAGGTTACTACTCTTATTTATCAATTTGGTAGAAATAATAAGAGCAACTGTGATTTTAAGGAAGACAAAGTCCACCTGAGCTAGAGTAGTTGGAGTGGACATTCTGGAGGAGATGGAACATAAACTGAGATTTCGAAGAAAGAAAGAATCTAAGCAAATGGAGATTTAAAAATTGGGAAAAAACTAATTATGTACAAAGGGCAGTGAGACTACTTTTCTCACCAAAGCAATTCAGCTCAAATTTAATTAATTAATTATTATAAACATACAAATTCACTATATTATTAATTTATTAGTAAGATTCACAACAAAAAGGCAGGCATTCACAAAAAAACTTAAGATTCAGTCTCTTAAGAAACTTATGATTCAAAATTAAAGGTCAAAAATGCTGACCTTTAGAAGAATTGCATTCCTCTGACAGTTAATGTCAGAGGATTTAGCATAAGACACGGGGAGACTTTTTATTCTTTGGAAGCAGCATGTTTACTTTACAAACAAAACAAATGTGAAGACATTCCCCTTAGCAACAACAATCATGAAACACACACATCCCCTTACTTTCCTTTTTGGTCTTATCCATGTCCTGGATGTCTGCTGTGGGAGTATTATCAGTTTCCTTTCTTGTGTATTGATCTCCTGTCTATCATCAGATTTCTGTCACTTCATAAAACAAATACAAACTGGGATTTTGTGTTGTCTTATGTTTCTTTTTTTTTTGGAATTGTGAAATTTTGGAATTACTTTTTTGTTCAGTGATTGGTAGAATTTATTGATACAACCATTTTGGTCTTGTGATTCTCTACAGTTATAGAAATATTCAGGTTTTCTATTTCTTTTAAGTTAGATTAAATTTTTCTATGAATTTTTTCATTCCATCCAAGCTTTAAATGTATTAGCATAAAATCTTTATATTATTTGTTTAATTTCTATAACATGTACAATTACGTCCACTTTTTATTCCCAATGATATTTATTTATATCCTCATTCTGTTTTTATTAATGGATCTTGCCATTTTTATTGTTTATTGGTCAATTTTATTTTTGTCCAGAATAATGACTTTTGTCTTTTTTGATTCTGCATGTTGTATATTCATTATTGCTTATATTAAATTTATCTTACCATTATCAGTAACTTTATTCTACTCTTTCTGTATTTATTCTGTTTTATCAACTTTTGAAGTTGACTGCTTAATTCCATAATGTCTACTTCTTTAGTGTATGAGCTACTTTAAAATCTTTTTTTTAATTTCTGGATGCATTTTTTTCAGTAGTCTTTGTTGTTTATTTCCAATATATTATGATTTATTTCAAATTGGAACAGTTTGAGAATTTGTATTAATTCTACTTTAAAGTTTTGCTAGAATTCAGCAATGAAGTCATTTGGTCCTGAACTTTGTTTGTTGGGGGATGTTTTATTACTGATTCAATCTCCTTATCTGGTATTGGTTTGTTTAGGTTTTCTATTTCTTCTTTTTTCAATCTTGGTAGGTTTCATGTGTGCAGGAATTTATTCACATCCTCTAGGTTTTCTTAATTTATTGGCATATACTTGTTCTACTAGTTTCAAGTGATTTTTTGTATTTCTGTGGTATCTGTTGTGATGTCTCCTTTTTCATCACTGATTGTATTTATTTGGATCTTTTCTCATTTTTCTTAGTCTAGCTAATGGTTTATTGGTTTTGTTTATCTTTTCAGAAAACCATCTTTTTGCTTTATTGATCTTTTGTATTTTTTAATCTCAATTTTCTTCCCTTCTACTAATTTTGTGTTTTGTTTGTTGTTGCTTTTCTAGCTTCTTAAGATGCTTTGCTAAGTTGTTTATTTAAAATATTTCTAGTTTTTTTAATGTAGACAATTATTGCTGTAAACTTGCCTCTTAGTGCTGCTTTTGCTGCGTTCCATAGGTTTTAGTATGTTGTGTTTCTATTTTTATTTGTTTCAGGATATTTTTTAAATTTTATTCATAATTTCTTTATTCACCTATTGGTCATTTAGGAACATGTTTGATTTTAATGCATTTGTATAATTTCTTTTTTTCTTTTTTATTTGTTTGAGACAGACTCTCTCTCTTGTTGCCCAGGCTGGAGTGCAGTGGCATGATCTCAGCTCACTGAAATCTCTGCCTGCTGGATTCAAGTGATTCTCCTGCCTTAGCCTCCTGAGTAGTTGGGATTACATGTGCCTGCTACCACACCTAGCTAATTTTTTTGTATTTTTAGTTGAGACGGGGTTTCACCATGTTTGCCAGACTAGTCTTGAACCCCTGACTTCAGGTGACCTGCCTGCCTCAGCCTCCCAAAGTGCTGGAATTATAGGCATGAGCCACCACACCTGACCTTGTATAGTTTCTAATGTTCCACTTGCTCTTGATTTCTAGGTTTATTCCATGTGTTCAGATAAGATGCTTGATATTACTTCAATATTTTTAAAGTTTTTCAGGCTTGTTTTGTGTCCTAACATATAGTCAATGCTGGAGAATGTTCCACAAGCTGATGAAAAGTATGTGTATTCTGCAGCTGTTGGACAAAATGTTCTGTTAATGTCTGTTAAGTTCATTTGGGCTATAGTGCAGTTAAAATGAAATATTTCTTTGTTGATTTTCTGTACAGATGATCTGTCCAATGCTGAGACTCAGACGTTGAAGTCCCCAACTATTATTGTATTGTGGTCTGCCTCTCCCTTTAGATTAAATAACATTTGCTTTATATATCTCGGTGCTCCAGTGTTGGGTTAAGCTGTGTTTACAATTGTTATGCTCTCTTGCTGAGTTGATTGTTTTATTACAATTAGAATGTGCTTCTAAAAAACTGAGGTGAGGGTAACTCTCTCTAACTTATTCTATGAGGACAGCATAATCCTGATAACAAAACCAGACAAGGACACAACAACAATAACAAAAAACACAGTTCAATATCCCTTATGAACACAGATGCAAAAATCCTTAACAAAATACTAGTAAACCAAATCCAACAATGCATTGAAAAGATAATATAGCATGATCAAGTAGAATTTATCCAAGGAATTCAAGGATGGTTTAACATATATGCAAATCAATAAAAATGATACATCATATCAATAGAATGAGGAACAAAAAATATATTATCTTAATAGATGCATAAAAAGCATTCAATTAACTTTAACATCTCTTCATGATAAAAGCTCTCAATAAATTGATTATAGAAGGAAAGTACCTCAACACAACATAAGCCATATATGACAAACCAACAGCTAACATCATACTGAATGAGGAAAAGCTGAAACAATTTTCTCTAAGAACTGGAACAAGATAAGTATGCCTACTCTCATCACTCTTATTCAATATAGTACTAGAAATCCTAATTAAATCTTAATCCTAATTAAGAAAAAGAAAGAAAGAAAGGGCTTATAAATTAGGAAGTAGGAAGTCAAATTGACCCTGTTTGCAGATGATGTGATCTCATATACAGAAAAATCGAAAGACTGTACCAAAAAAAAAAAACCCCTCTTAAAGCTGATAAGCAAATTCAGTAAAGTCGCAGTATACAAAATCAACCTACAAAAATCAGTAGCATTTCTATATATAAACAACAAACTACCTGAGGGAAGAAATCAACACAGAAATCCCATTTATGATAGTGACACAAAATAAAATAAAATACCTAGGAATAAATTTAACCAAAGCAGTGAAATACCACTACAAGGAAACTACAAAATGCAAATAAAAGAATTAAAGAGGATACAAACAAATGGAAAGACATCTCACACCCATGAATCAGAAGAATTTATATTGTTAAAATAACAATACTACCCAAAGAAATCTACTGATTCAATGCAATGCTTATCAAAATATCAATGACATTCTTCATAGAAATAGAAAAAAAAGGGTTTAATTTATATGGAACTATGAAAGACCCTGAATAGCCAAAGCAATCCTGAGCAAAAAGAATAAAGCTAGAGGCATCACACTATTTTTCAAAATATAGATTTCAAAATATACTACAAAGCTATAGTCACCAAAACAGCATGATACTGGCATAAAAACATTCATAGATGAATGGAACAGAATGGAGAACCCATAAATTAACCCATATATGTACAGCTAACTGATTTTTGACAAAAGCACCAAGAACACTCATTGGGGAAAGGACAGCCTCTTTAAGAAATGATGCTGGGGAAACTGAATATCCATATACAGAAGAATGAAACTGGGCCCCCACTCCTCACTTTATACAAAAATTACCTCTAAATGGATCAAAGACATATGTGTAAGAACCAAAACTATAAAACCACTAGAAGAAACATAGGGAAAATGCTTGTGACATTTGTCTGGGAAAGGACTTTATGAATAAGACCTCAAAAGCATAGGCAACAAAAGCAAAAATAAACAAAAAGGATTATATCAAACTAAAGACCTTTTGCCTACCAAAGGAAACAATCAACAGACTGAAAAGACACCCTACACGATGGGAGTAACCTACACTATTCACTTGACAGAGGTTTATATTCAGAATATACACAGGACTCAAACATCTCAGCAACAAACAAACAAACACTCTACTTTAAAAATAAGCAACAGATCAGAACAGACGTTTTTCAAAATAAGACATACAAATGGCTAAAAAATGTATGAAAATACGTTCAACATCACTAATCATAAGGGAAATGCAAATCAAAATGACAGTGAGGTATCATCTCACCCCAGTGAGGATGGCTGTTATCAAAAAGACAAAAAAATGCTGGTTAATATTAGAAGAAAAGGGAACTCTATTTTACCATTGGTGGAAATGTAAACCATTACAACCACTATGGAGAACAGTATGGAAGTTTCTCAAAAAACTACAAATAGAACCATCATATGATCTAGGAATCCCACTACTGGACATTTATCCAAAGGAAAGGAAATCAGTAAATTGAAGAGACATCTGTGACCCCATGTTTATTTCAGAACTATTTACAATAGCCAAGTATGGGATCAACCTAGGTTTCTAACAATAAATAAATGGATAAAGAAAATGTGGTATATATACACAATGGAAAATTATTTCCTTATTAAGAAGAATAAAATCCTGTCATTCACAGTAGTATGGATAGAACTGGTGGACATTATGTTGAGTGAAATAAGCTGGAAACAGAAAGTTAAACACCACATATTCTCAGTAAGATGTGGAAGCTAAAAAACAGTTGATCTCATAGAAGTGAAAACTAGAACAGAGGATATTGGAGTCTGGGAAGGGTAAGGTGAAAGGAGAGATAGGAAGAGATTTGTTAAAGGACACAAAATTGCAGCTAATCAGGAAGAATAAGGTCTAGAGTTCTATACCACTACAGGATGACAATGGTTGACAATAAGATATTATATAGTTTCAAGTGTTCCCTACACAAAAAATGATAAACGTTTGAGATGATTGATATGCTAGTTACCCTGATCTGATCACTATGTATTGTATGTATGAAAACATCACTACATACTTCATAAATGTGTATAATTATTATGTCAGCTTACAAAATAATTCTACTTTTAAAAAGAACTTTAATGAAGCATGCTTTATGGCTTAGTTCAAGTCAATTTTCCTAAAAGTTCCATATGTACATAAAAAGCTTTCAATTATTCCAATATTCCATATATGTTCACTAGGTCAAGATTCTGATTCATGCTAAAATACTGTCTATCGTTACTTATATATTTTTGCCTGAACTCATATATTGAGAGAGCATGTCATAACCTTCCTCTAACATAATGAATAAATTAATTTCTCCCTTGAAGACTATAAAGTTTTGTTTTATTTATTTTGAATATGTGTTCTTATGTACAAAGGAGTTAAGAATTATACCTTCCTAAGAAGTTGAACCATTTATTGCTAAGGATACATTTTGCCTTGAACTCATCTAGTTTTAATACAATTAAGTCTTATCTTTTTGTTTATGTTTGTCTTATATATAGTTCCATTTGATATGATTTGACAATGTGTCCCCACCGAAACCTCATCTTGCATTGTACTCCCGTAATTCTCATGTGTTGTGAGAGGGACCCGGTGGGAGATGGTTGGATCCTGGAGGCAGTTTTCCCCCATGCTGTTCTTGTGGTAAATAAGTCTCACAAGATCTGATGGTTTAATAAGGGAAACCTGTTTTGCTTGGCTTTCATTCTGTCTCTGTGCCTGCCACCATCCACATAAGATGTGACTTGCTCCTCCTTGCCTTCCACCATGATTATGAGGCTTCCCCAGCCATATGGAACTGTAATTCCAATTAAACCTCTTTCTTTTGTAAATTGCCCAGTCTCAGGTATGTCTCTATCAGAAGCATGAAAACAAATTAACACAGTAAATTGGTACCAGTAGAGTGGGGCACTGCTGAAAAGATACCCCAAAATGTGGAAGTGACTTTGGAACTGGGTAACAGGCAGAGGTTGGAACAGTTTGAAGGGATCAGAAGAAGACAGGAAAATGTGGAAAAGTTTGGAACTCCTTAGAGACTTGTGGAATGGCTTTTACCAAAGTGCAGATAATGATATGGACAATGAAATCTAGGCTGAGGTGGCCTCAGACGGAGATGAGGAACTTGTTGGGAACTGGAGAAAAGGTGACTCTTGTTATCTTTTAGCAAAGAGACTGGTGGCATTTTGCCCCTGCCCTAGAGATTTTTGGAACTTTGAACTTAAGGAAGATGATTTAGCATATCTGCAAAAGAAATTTCTAAGCAGCAAAGCATTCAAGAAGTCACTTAGGTGCTGTTAAAGGCATTCAGTTTTATAAGGAAAGCAGAGCATAAAAGTTTGGAAAATTTGCGGCCTGACAATGAGATAGAAAAGAAAAACCCATTTTCTGAGGAGAAATTCAAGCCAGCTTCAGAAATTTGCATAGGTAATGAGGAGCTGAATGTTAATCCCCAAGACAATGGAGAAAATGTTTCCAGGCCATGACTGAGGTCTTCACAGCAGACCCTCCCCTCACAGGCCTTGAGATCTAGCATGGAAAAATGGTTTTGTGGGCCTGGCCCAGGCTCCCCATGCTGTGTGCACCCTAGGGACTTGGTGCTCTGCATCCCAGCCTCTCTAGCCATGGATGAAAGGGGCCAATGTAGTGTTTGGGCCATGGCTTCAGAGAATACAAGCCCCAAGCCTTGGCAGCTTTTATGTGGTGTTGGGCCTACAAGTGCACAGAAGTCAAGAATTGGGGTTTGGGAACCTCTGCCTAGATTTCAGAAGATGTATGGAAATGCCTGAATGCCCAGGCAGAAATTTGCTGCAGGGGTGGGGTGTTCATGGGGAATCTCTGCTAGGGCAGTGCAGAAGGAAAATGTGGGGTCAAAACCCCCACACAGTCCCTACTGGAGTACCACCTAGTGGAGCTGTGAGAAAAGGGCCACCATTCTCCAGACCCCAGAATGGTAGATCCACAAACAGTTTGCACCATGTGCCTGAAAAAGCCACAGCCACTCAATGCCAGCCCATGAAAGCAGCCAGGAGGGAGGCTATGCCCTACAAAGCCACAGAAAAGAGCTGCCCAAGACAGTGAGAACCCACCACTTGCATCAGTGTGACCTGGATATGAGACTTGGAGTCAGAGAAGATCATTTTGGAGCTTCAAGATTTTACTGCCCTGCTGGAATTTGGACTTGCATGGGGCCTGTAGCCCCTTTGTTTTCACCACTTCCTCCCACTTGGAATGGCTGTATTCATCCAATTTCTGTACCCCCCATTGTTTCTAGGAAGTAACTAACTTGCTTTTGATTTTACAGGCTTATAGGTGGAAGGGACTTGCTTTGTCCCAGATGAGACTTGCAACTGTTGACTTTTGAAATGAGTTAAGATTTTGGGGGACTGTTGGGAAGGCATGATTGGTTATGAAATGTGAGGACATGAGATTTGGGAGGGGTCGGGGGAGAATTATATGGGTTGGCTCTGTGTCCCCCTCCAAACCTCATCTTGATTTGTACCCCCATAATTCCATGTGTTGTGGGAGGGACCCAGAAGGAGATGGTTGGATCATGGAGGCAGTTTACCCCATGCTGTTCTTGTGGTAGTAAATAAGACTCATGAGATCTGATAGTTTGATAAGGGGAAATCCATTTCACTTGGCTTTCATTCTGTCTCTTTGCCTGCCACCATCCATGTAAGATGTGACTTGCTCCTCCTTGCCTTCCACCATAATTGTGAGGCTTCCCCAACCACGTGAAACTGTAAGTCCAATTACACCTCTTTCTTTTGTAAATTTCCCAGTCTCAGGTATGTCTTTATCAGCAGAATGAAAACAAACTAACACAACATTCTTTTACTTTTTTTATATCTTTATGTTTTAGGTGTGATGCTCATGAAAGCATATAGTCTCAATTTGTGTTTGTTTTCCTATCTGGCAAATTTTGCCTTTCAGTTGGAGAAATTATTCCATTTCAATTTATTTGGATTACTAATTTTTTATTTGTGTGTCCTATCTTTTATGTGCTTATTATTTGTCGTATTTACTGAGGTTTCTGTTTGTTTCCTGTTTCTTTCCTTCTTATATTCTTTTGCATTTTTAAAATTTGTCCCTTTCCTGTTTTACTAGTTATTTTAAAACATTTAAATATGTACACTTAAAGATATACGTTACTATTTCCTCTACTTCTAAACAAGACAAGAACAATAGGAACACCTAGCTTTTTTGTTTTGTTTCCATTGGTTTTTGTTTGTTTCTTTGTTGTTCTTTTTTGGTGTTTTTTCGTTTTGGGAGAGAAGGTTTAGCTCTTCCCCTAGATTCCCCCAGGCTGGAGTACAGTGGCACTATCACGGCTATCTGCAGCCTCCACCTCCCAGGCTTAAGCAATCTTCCTTGCTCAGTCTCCTGAGTAGCTGGGACCACAGGTGTGCATCATCACAGGTGGCTATTTTTTTTTAATTTTTTTTGTAGAGATAGGGTCTCACTATGTTGCCTAAGCTCGTCTCAAACTCATGGGCTCAAGTAATCCTCCTTCCTCAGCCTCCCAAACTGCTAGGATCACAGGCGTGAGCTGCTGCACCTAGCCAGAAGATCAATTTTGATACACACTATGGTATCAATTGAATTTTTTATATATTTGACTGTGGAGAAAATAATGGACTGAAAACCCTAGCGTTCTTACTTTGAAATCCATCACTGCATGTGCAATGAGGTCATAATCAAGGGTGGTGAGGATACCGAGTCAGGTCTATTCTGGAAAATGCAGTCCTCCTCTGAAGGAGAAGGTTTGTCTCAAGAAGTCAGCATCAACCTTTTAATCTTTCTATAATTGCATGCTGTCTAAGTTTTTTCCATCCAACCTTCCCTCTCTTCTTTGCAAGTGTAAGACTGTCATCCAACTCTGATGGCTCTCCTGGCCTCCTCTAACTTCCCATTTTTCCTCACAGGTATTTCCCCTCATACATAACTTGCATGTCTAATCCTGTCTTGGAGTCTGATTCTCATAGACCTCAGCCTAACAAAAATGGCACCAGAAGTGGTCCAAGAAAACAAACAGTATAATAGAGATATAGGAACGGCTCATATACCACCAAGTGGGCAAAAAGAACAGTATCCTGACTGGTGGATGTGACACATTGTCCCTGAATCAAGATGGTAAAGAACTCTAGCTCAATATTTAGTAGATTCAGCAGTGAATTATCTAACAAGTGGTCCTATACTGGCCTTACAACCAAATTCTAACAGCTTCATGTTTGCTTTCTTAATACTATTCCACTCTTTCTTTGTAATCCATTATTTTTTCTCTGTGACTTGCCTTGATAGTCTGCCATAATTCTCATTTTTTTTTCTAACACTGAGTACCCTATTTAGCTCTAGAAAATCTGTTCACAGACCCTGATGATATGGTTTCCATTTACTGAGAAGCCTACCTACCATATGCCTGGTGTTATGTTATCTCGCTAATTCTCACAACTCTGCCAGTAGTTATTATTATCTCATCTAGAGCTGAGGCTCAGAAATATTCAGTGAATGGAGTGAGGCTATAGTTTTACCTATGTTCCCATTTGGCTATAGTTGTTTACATAAAAGATGAAGAGACTTCAGAGAGAAAGCTTGAATCCTGAATAATACAAACTTGTCCAAGATGTGTCCAACAGACTGAGATGCTGGTATTGACAGAAGCCAGTTGGAAGGGAAGATTATAAAGCCCCTGAAAGAAAATTCATCAGAAGGAAAGAATGAATGTGTCACAGTGAACCTGACTTATAAACAATGCATAAAGGTCAGAAGGAAGAGGTAGACCAAGGCTGAGCATGGCTGCTGTTCTTATCCAACCCAATCCTTTTGAAGACACTATGGAGGTGTGTGTGCTCTCTGGAGAGTAATAGAACCATAGATATTCATTGAAAGAGCTGTCACAATAATTGCTAAAAAAAAATTTAGGAACCAAGTAATCTTGCTGTGAGAATTCAACCCATTCTACTGCCCCCAGCCAAGCAGAGAATAAATAATATAGAAGAGAGAAGTAGTCATCTCATTTTTTGAAAAGCATGGGGAAGGAGGATGAAGATCCACAAGGAAGATGTAGGAGCAGCAGTGCATTTCCATTAGCCTGCACCAACACATTGGCAGAGAAATGCATCTGGTGGCAGCAGCAGAACTGCGTCTCTCTTGGCAACAAGGATGCACTAGAGGCAGAATTCCCACTCAACTTGCACCAGGCAGTAAAGGCTGAAGAAACGTTCGTCCATGTATTCATTTATTTATTCAACAAATATTTATTAAAGAGGTTGATATGGTTTGGCTATGTTCCCACCCAAATCTCATCTTGAATTTCCACATGTTGTGGGAGGGACCTGGTGGAAGGTAATTGAATCATGAGGGCAGGTCTTTCCTGAACTGTTCTTGTGATAGTGAATAAGTCTCATGACATCTGATGGTTTTATAAGGCAGAGTTTCCATGAACAAGCTCTCTCTTTGCCTGCTGCCATCCATGTAAGATGTGACTTGCTCCTCTTTGCCTTCTGCCGTGATTGTGAGGCTTCCCCAGCCACATGGAATTGTAAGTCCAATAAACCCTTTTTCCTGTATAAATTACCCAGTCTCGGGTACGTCTTTATTAACTGCATGAAAACAGACTAATACAGAGGTACTACATTAGATCCTTCTATTGGCTGGCAATGAGACAGCAGAGGTGTTGGGGCTACAGAAAATAGAGTGGGAAAAAAGGAGCTGTCTCACTAAACTCAGTAATACTTTGACCCTGCAAGTCCTATTATAAAATTGTACTTTACCAGGCTTTCTTCTTTCCAAAGGTTCCAGTCAAAGTCTTGATCCATTTATCTAACAAGTTGTCCTTTTCTTATTGATTTATTGAAGGATTTTTAAGGGATACTAATTTTTATTGATTATATGGATTAAAAATATCCTCTCCTCATCTGTTATTTGTCTTTTACATTTATTTATGGAACTGTGAGACATTCATTCTTCTGTGATCTGACACCACTTTATACATGCTTTTGTTATAAAGCCAACCTTGTTGCCCATAATGTCTTCCCTAAAAGTCTACGGAAGAAATGCTGGACTTGGAATAAGGATTTCTGGGTTACAGCAAAAGTTCTCTGACATCACTAGGACTGTGATTTTGGGTAAATTTCTTGAGATTAACATTAAACCCTACAACATCAGACCCTCTCCTAAGTTTCTTATATATTCTTTATAACTATCTGCCTGTTGTTTGGATAAAAAATAAGGAAAAATAATAATAATAAATAGTCTCAGAAAAATAAAGTTATTAACCAATGATATGCAACTAGTTAATGACAGATTGGGAAACAAACTCAGGTATGATTCCAAAATTTATGCTGCTTTCTTCTCTTAATGTGTGCTTCAGGATTCTCATGCGAAAAATTGCAAAAAAAAAAAAAATGCTGAAGAGGAGGGAGGTTAAATGGAACTATAAGCCTTACATTACTTACTGCTCTGAAATTCCATGATTCAAAGCACCTATCAAAAACCAACAACCATGAGACACTTTGGAGAGGGACTACTGCTCTTTAAAGGCAGTGGGTTTACCCACTGGCTCCCCAGAGAAAAGCAATCACCAGCAATGATAGAGCTACTAATGTCTTGATTTTTAAAACCATTCAACACTAATTTTGAACATGATTACCTCAAGAGCCAAAAATAAACTCTTTATTACAAGTTTGTAATTGCACTATGAAAAGTACTTAATATATGGAAGCTATATTTTATTGAAAGTCTACTATGCACTAAGAATATTACAAAGATAATCCCCTTCAATCTTGAAGAGAACATTATGAGATAGTTATTTTTACTCTCTATTTTACACATAAGTAAATCAAGGCAGAGAGAGATTACATGGTCCCACAAGGAACAACACCCATGCCTATCTCCAAAACCCCAGCCAACTCAATGCAGTTGTGAACTTCCCATTGTTAGAAACCCACATCCACTGTAAAATCATTGCCAAGTGAGGTTTCCTTCTGGCAGCAATGTAGTCTTTCATGGAATTCTCATCGTTGAAGAACCTCATTGGAATTTCAGTACTTGAGGGCTCCTCTGAGCTAGCAAGTTTAAATAAAGCATATCAGAGAGAGTTATAGGTCTTTCCTCAAAATGGAAAATGTATAAATAGATTGGCTAAATACTTGGGAAAAAATAGAAAATATTTGCTTATTGCCAACTTTTAAAAAGAACTTACGTTGAAATTTTAGGCTGAAACTTACCTGTTAACTAACTAAAAATCTCTTTTTTTTAAAAGATGGACTAGAAAATTTATGTCTATTTCTCTGAATCTCACGTAATATGATTTTCTATGAAAAATAAAGTGTTGCGAGTTTCATCACATGGTGTAATTTCAGACTCCCTCATAAGGGACTTTTCTCTTCTATGGATTTGTAAGCTATTGAAATGAAGCGTGATTACAGAAAGTCTCATGGAAAACATGTTTCAGGAAATAAAGGTGAAGGGGATAACAATGCATCAAGTTTGTTTGTAAACTTCAGAAAAGATTGTAATTAAGACTTCTAATAATGCTTTTTAAAATCAGTGTGCTTTTCAAGGCAGAAAGACCACAACTGTGATGTGACTGCTAGCATGTATTTTTTGTGCTGCCTCAAACGTATCCCTGTATTGGAAGGCTCACCTAGAGCAAGTGATCAAATAATACCATAGGTAAGTAAGACTGGCTTTCAACACCCTAAAGAATGAGATTTAGAGCAAAAAGTGTCACAACTGATTGCCTGTGTTTTAGGGCTTACTACTCAGGTGTACTGTATTTGGAACTGTATTTCTCTTTCGTTCTTCTATTTGGGAACTGTCAGAAAATCGTCCTGATTTTATCCCATGAGCCAGAGTCACAGAGCTTCTAAGCTTTTGATCTCCTTTGACATTTGGTTTTGTGTGACTTTTTCTGATTCTGCTTTTTTAAAGAAAGGTCTGCTGTGGTTCTCCCAAATGCCAAAAGGGAAAACACTTATAATGCTGTTGTATAACATTTACCTTCTAAATATCAAGTTTAGAGTATACACAAGGGCATAAAGTATCTTCCTACTGCATGCGCATGTGTGTGTTTCATACTCTTTTAGAAAATGTCATAAGGAAGTTTTCATTGCATATTCAAGTATATTTCCTAAGAAAAAATTCTAAACATAGAAAAGTTGAGCTCTGAGCAGAATTCATCTTCCTGAAATCAGATACCTTTCAAAATAGAAAAGGACTAATCCTCAGAGTCATCATTGACTCCTCTCTCTCATGCTCAATATTCACTCAATCACAAAATCAAATCATGTCCATTTTACCTCAGAAATTGTTTCTCTGTCTCTCTTGCTTGCTATGTGCATGTGCGTGTGTGTGTATGTCTCATCTTTCACTGAGACAGCCTCCTAACTAGTCTTCTAACCACCTGTTTCTCCAACTTTACATTACTAACAGAGTAATCTTAAAACTGATGACTTTATATTACTGACTGATAACAATTGTTATTTCTCTGTTGCCTATACAATAAAAAATACAAACTTCTAGCACAGTGTCTTGCAAAGTGTGATTCCCAGAATAACTATATCAGAACTTCTTTACTGAAAAAAAAATTTATATTCTTGGCACCAGTCCAGGCCAGCAAAATCAAACTCCTTGAGTCTGAGTCCTGTAATCTACATTTTAACCTTTTATCCAGAAATAATAAGTTTCCTGAGAAGACAAAGCATAAACATTATGTGAATTTTGGAGCATTTCAGTATTTGGCAATATTATCAATGAAAAATCCTGAAATGATGAAAAAATTCCTGTGATGAAAAAATTCATAAAAGTACTAGTAAATGAATTGACTAATGTATAAAAAATTAAATGAAATCCTTTAAGTCCAGAAAAAAGAGAGAGAACATGAATCCAAAGAGGCAAAATATAGTGAGAAATTTGATCACAAAAATTTCATAAAGATTTACCCAAGTCTCAGAGAAGAGGCGATCAAAAAGACAAAAGCAAACTTCAGAAATAGCAAAAATACTTTTATATCTTAGCCTTGGTTCTGAGAAGAGGAAAATAAAATCATTTTCCATGAGTCTCCATAAGCACTATTTGGTTCCTCCTGTGAGTTTATGGCTTAAATTTATACTATTTGCGTGAGGCAAAAAAAAAAAAAATTATTTTATGGTTAACCCAATCTGCAGCATCCCAAATGCACATCTCTTTCAGAGAAACACACTCACTTTCAACCCAGGCAACAAAAGATTCCCACAGATATATTTGCAAGTATGATCTAACAATGAAAAGCTATAAAACACACAAGGAGACAAAGTACTACAGTAAGTCATCATTTAAAAAAAAAGTTCAGAAAGATTTTAAGTGTAGGTGTCAATAGATATATAATGCAAAGTAACTGTTTACAATTAGCAAACAGATTATGATCTCTAGATATTATCTTCCACTAAGAGAGAAATGAGGGCTACTTGGAGAATTGGCTGAACCAGGTCTGGGAAAGAAAGCGTAGATGTTGAATTTGGAACACCTTGTCATATCAGAAAACAATACGGCTATTAAAGAAAACTGTAGTCATGTCCAAAAGACTCAGGAAAGAACTGAAGAGACCCCCCATTAGCCAAAGATAACACAATTTGAGTATAAGAATAATAACTTCAATGAATTGAAATATCAAATAGTTAAAATGTGTCAGTTCAAAATGATACTGAAAGAAAAACTCATAGGTTGCCCTTGGAGGATTCTAGGAAACCAATATATTATACTGAAAATTAATAAGCAAAGGGGGAAAAGTCAACCATTTATTCTAGAAAGCAAATTGTTTCTCAGGGTAACCAAAGAGTTACAGGAAGTGTATCTTAAAGAAAATATTTCATTCAATGAATGAAGAAGGACTAAAAAACTTTAAATATCACCATTTGGCAACCCTCTAATAAAATAATGAATCCATGCAATGATTATCAATGATCGTTAAAATCACTACACAAAAAGACCATGGAAAACTTTAAAATGGAATGATCAGGCCAAAACCACTTAAACAGACTAATCAGTCTCATGACAAAAAGAGACAGATAGGCATAATGAGCCTCTTGATGAAAGTACACAAGACTCACTATCTGTAGAGTATTCTTGCCAGATATTGAATATGAATCTGATCAAGCTTCTATATCCAACTATTAGTTTACAGGCAAAGAAACATGTAAAATGATACATTAGTGATAAAATCAGCAAATCCTAGACAGTGGAAGACTCTACAGAATAAATGACCTGATTTCCACTTTAAATTATAAGGAAAAAAACATGGGAAAATAGCATATATAATTAAAGAGAGTTAAGAGACTATATCAGCCTGCTAGGGCTACAATAACAAAATACTGCAGACTGCTTGGCTTAAACAACAAAAATTTATTTTGTCAGGTTGGGTTCTTTCTCAGCTTTCTCTCCTTGGCTTGCAAATGTCTGCCTTCTCGCTATGTCCTCACATGGTCTCCCCTTTGTGGGCATGCACCCCCTGGTGTTTCTCCATGTCCAAATTTCCTTTTCTTGTAAGGACAACAGACTGGATTAGACCCCAATCCTGAAGAGGCTCATTTTAATATAATCACCTCCTTAAAGTTCCTATTTCCAAATATAGTCACATTCTGAGCTACTACTGGAGGTTAGAGCTTCAATATGTAAATTCTGGGAAGACATGACTCAACCTATAACATTTTGTTCTCTTGACCACAAAAATTCATGTTCTTCTCACATGCAAAACACATTCACTGCCATCCCACCAGTCCCAAAGCCTTAACTCATTCCGGTATCCACTCTAAGTCCAAAATCTCATCTAAATATTATATAAATCAAGTGTGGGTGAGACTCGATGTATGATTCATCTTGAGGAAAAATTTCTCTCCATCCGTGAACCTGTGAAACCAGACAAGTTATCTGCTTCCAAAATACAATGGTGTAACAGTCATAAGATAGACATTCCCACTTCAAAAGAGAAATAAAAAAGAAGACAGGGATCACAGGTCCAAGCAAGTCCAAAACCTGGAAGGGGAACTCCATCAGATTTTAAAGCTCATGAATAATCCTCTTTGGCTCCATGCCCTGTCCTCCAGGCCTAGCAGAGTGTTGGCCCAACCCCATCCACTGTGGGTGGCAGTGTCACCTTTGAGGGCCTAACTTCCAATACAGTCATATGTGGGAGACTAGGGGTGAAGGCTTCAACCTACAAATTTGGGGAAAACATAATTCAGCCTATAATTCAGAGATATGTCAAACAAATGTAACATGTCCGTGTTTGGATCATGATTCAAAAAAACAGTTAAAAAATTATAAAACAATTTGGGATTTGAACTTTGGTTGGATATCATATGATATTAAGGGTATTTTAAATACTTATGCTTTAAAATAAAAAGTCGACAAAGGACAGTAATAGATGTTTCTCAAAAGAAGACATACAAATGGCCAAGAAATACACGAAAAAATTCTTAACATCACTATCAGAGAAATGAAAATTAAAACCACAGTAAGATATCATCTTACTCCAGTTAAAATGGCAATTATTAAAATGACAAAAAAAAATATGCTGGCAAGAATGTGGAGAAAATGGAAGTCTTATGCAGTGTTAGTAGGAACATAAATTAGTGTAGCCATTATGGGAAACATTATGGAGTT
Organism: Homo sapiens; assembly: GCF_000001405.40. NCBI lineage: Eukaryota > Metazoa > Chordata > Mammalia > Primates > Hominidae > Homo > Homo sapiens. Next base: position 17,417,891 of record NC_000002.12, read on the forward strand.
TCCTCAAGAAATTAAAAATAGAAATACTACATGATTTAGCAATCCAACTACTGGGGCATATATCCAAAGGAAAGGAAATCAGTATGTTGAAGAGATATCTGGACTTGAATGTTTATTGCAGCACTACTCTCAAAGGCCAAGACATAGAATCAACCTAACTGTCCATCAACAGATAAATGAATAAAGAAAATGTGGTATGTATACATATATACAATGAAATAATATTCAGCCACAAAAAAGAATGAAATCCTGTAATGTGTAGGAACATGGATGAGCCTGAAGGACATTATGTTAAGTGAAATAGCCAGGCACAGAAAAACAAACACCACCTGTTCTCCTTTATATGTGGAAGCTAAAATAGTTGATCTTATAGAAGTAGAGATTAGAACAGCCTGGGAAGGATGGGGGAGGGAGAGATAGGAAGAGGTTGGTTAATAGGTACAAAACCACAGATAGGAGGAATAAGTTCTACTGTTCTATAGCACAGCAGAGTGTATATGATTAACAATAATTTATTATATATTCCAAAATGGCTACAAGAAAGAATTTTGAAATGTTGTAAAACAAAGAAATGATAAATGTTTAAGGTGATGGATATCCCAGTTACCTTGATTTAATCATTACACATTGTATACATGTATAAATACATCACATGTACCCCATAAAATGTACAATTATTATATATCAATTAAAAATTAGAAAAATAGAATTTTAAAAATAGTTATGCTTTAAAGTTCTTATCTTATGGAAATAATAATGAAGTGCTTACAAATGAAATTATAAGATATCTGGAGTTTGCCTCCAAATAACAGAGTAAGGGTGGATGATTAATCAGGCAAAATTGACTTTGATTTGAGTAATGTTTAAGCAGGATGATGGATTTAAGAGAGTTTCACATACTGTCTCTCCTTTGGTGTATATTTAAAATGTCCTATAATTAAAAATTCAAGTGCAAATAAATGTGTTTAATGTATTTAATAAAGGAGAAAATCAAAACATGAACAAGAGGAAAGAATATCAAAAATCTTTAAAAAATAATCCAAAAGTACTTATAGAGTGAAAAATATTCCTATTAGCATTTTAAGTGCTCCATGATAAATAGCTCATTTTTGTAAAAATGTCAATCCTTTTAAAGTGGTCTATAGATTTAATGAATTATACACAAATTCCCAAGAGGCTATTTTATGAAACTTGACAGTTTGTTTCAATAATTTAATACTTTATATTGAAGATTAAAGGGATAAAAACTATAAAAAGACTCCTCAATTTAAAATAAAAGAAGAAGAAAAAGGAGAAGGAGATGAAGAAGGAGAAGAAGAAAAGGAGTGGGTTGGGGGAGAAGGGGACTGGCATTATCAGATATGAAGACTTATTACAAAGCAAAGGTAGTTAAGACAGTATGATATTGGTGCAAGGAAAGACAAATAGATCAATAGGCTGAAGCAGTGAGCACAAGAAGACAGCCCACACACATCAAAAACACTAAAATCATTTGTTAAAGATAGATAATTCATGAAATTATATTGGGTCAATTACTTATTAATATGAAATGAAAATGAAAATAGATAACTACCTCTTAGTATAGAAAAATGAAAAAGATGGAGCTTCTTAATGATAGAAGAAAATATTGAGGGATATGTTTTAGTGTTTATTTAGGGGTCCTTCACAAGACACAAAATGCTCCAATCACAAAAAAGGCTAAAAAATTTCACCTCATCAAAATAATTCTATTATATTCTTTATCTGCATTTATATCATTCACTGCAAGAATAATCAGATTCAGATCACCCATCTCCCTCACTCTAATCCCCATAAGTCTACGTGTGTCCCCTATTCTGACCTATTTTTCACTTTCTTTAAGTTGTAAAAGTACCTCTGTGTTCTCTGGCATTTTAGTCCATCCTCAAAAATTCCCCTGTATCTTCAAATTCATTTCTAAAACTCCTTTTACCCTCTTCTCTTGAGGAAAACTTAGCTCTCCCTCCAGGCCACTGCTACTCCTGCCATCCTTTCTTATGGTGGTTATTTTTTTACCCACATCCTTTGTATCTTGGGGACTGGAGGTAGGGTAGCTATTTCCATTGCACGTTATTAATACTTTCATACTATTTGCTCTGCTTTTTTCTGAAATCCTCAACTTTGAATCCTATGCCATCAGACTGCATCATTCTTCACCCTGGCCCCAATGTCACTTTCATTTCTTGATGATATAGTTCCCGACTTACTGACACTTTCTCTAACACTATCCTTGCCTTAATTCTTGATGAATGGTATATATGATTAATTAATTTATCTAATATAGGCTGTCAGTTTCTTGAACTGTTCTCCTCCAATTAGCTAGTCCTCCATCATACTGCAGCCACTCCAATCCTATCATCATGCCTTAGAAATTATCATTACTAAAAATTACAGCCCCTCCCTTATCTCAATGCTATGTGGCTCTCTAACCATCTCTTCCTGTCTTTCCTTCTTATTCCCTATCCTGGTTCTATCTATTATTCAGCCCTACTAGGACCTTCAACTCAGTGATTCCACCAATTTTGCATGCACCATCACCACTTAGGTCTTCTCTTCCTTTCTTATCCAGCTAAAATTCCATAGAGAATCATTATACGATCTCCCTTGCATACAAACTCAACTCCTTTTTCTCTCTCTCAAGTTAAAATACTCTTTTGGCTAACCTAGCTATTCTGCTTAAATGTATTTTTTCACTTTTGCCACACCTGCACTCATAAGCCAGAATGTGGCTGATGAAAAACAGAACCATCCTGATGGATCTCACTTTAAATTCATGATTATGAACCTCTCAAGATATTATTAATAATATGCCAGGCATTCATGCTCCATTTCCCTGGTATCAACTCTCCAAGTTTGCTAGATATCTACTTTACAACTTTTCTCTCCTCAAACCTATAATATCTCCTCTCCCACCTTCACTTTCAGCTTATGGCTTTGGTTTCAACCTTAATAAGACTTGAAGCAGTAAAATGGCAACCAGGTTCACCAGGTTCACACCACCATAACTATGTCATCAACATCTACAGCCATGTACTATGCTTTCTTTCTTATTCCTGCAGATAACTACCTGTGCATCTATCTAAAGCCAATTTTTCCACTTATGAGCCATATCTTCCTATTTCTACTCATCTATTCAATATTATTCTAACAATTTTATTTTCTCTACTGAATCTCTTTTGTTTGTTTGTTTGTTTGGGATTATTACCACAATCATGAAAGCATGCTATTATTTTTTTCCATCTACTAAAACCTGCTTATGATACCACTTTCCCAACCTCCTCCCCCATTTATTTGCTCCTCTTCCCAACAAAACTACGGAAGAGATTTCAGTACTCATTTCTCTGATTCCCTCCATTCTCTCTTTAGCCCTCTTGAATCAGACCTCCACCTGCCACTCTCCTGATATTGCTCTTGTCAAGATCACTGATGACTTTCACATTGATTAATATAATGCTCAATCCTCATTATTCATTTTGACTTACCAGCAGCATTTGCCACAACTGATCACTGGCCCTTTCATTGGCTCTTTTTTATGATATTCTATTGAATTGAACTTCCTTATAATTCACTGGCTGCTCTTTTACAAATCTCCTGTCTACCTTGCCCCTTAACCTTGTGCCCCAGGATTCAGTCTTTTGCTTGTCTTCTTTTATTTATCTATACTCACTCCATTAATTATCTTATCATTTTTCTATAGCTTTAAATACTACTTTTTGCCTACAACTCCCAAATTCATATCACCAGCTCTCCTAAATTCCAGATTCATATATGGAACTGCCTATCCAACATATGCATTTGACAGTCTGATACATATATCAAACTTAACATTTCCAAAATAAAATCCTAAGTCTTTTCCCAAAACCTTCCCAACCCATCATCATCCTCATATAAATTAATGCATCAATCCTTCAAACTGCTTAAGCCAAAGACCTTGGTCACTCTTAGAGTTACAATTGACTTTCCTCCTCTCATTCCTTACACAAACTCTTCACAAAAAGAAATTCAGAACCCAATGACCTCTCATAACTTATACTTACTGTTACAGTCAAAAGAGTTCTTCTTGTCCATTACACAGATAAAGCCAATACACTGAGATAGAAGTGTTATAGCAGAGAAGGAGTTAAATTACCCCAAGTCAGCCAAGCGGTAGGAAGGAAGATATTTCTCAAATTTCCCTTTTTGAGAGACAAGAGGCTTAGGTTTTTTAAGGATAATTTGGCCAGCAAAGGCCTAGGGAATGGATGCTGCTGATTGGTTGGGGATGAAATCATAAAAGTATTGGAACTCTCTTTGTGCACTGAGTCAGTTCCTGGTTGAGGGTCACTGCTCTGAGTGGTGCCAATTGTTCCAGCAGAATGCAAATCCTGGAAAATATCTCAAACAGCAGCCTTAGGTTTTACAATAGCAATGTTATCTATCAGGGAAATTAGGGTAGTTACAAATCTTGTCATCACTGCTTATATGATTTCTGAGCAGTAAGCAAGTTAGGAAACATGACTAGTTATTATTTAACTAAGCATGGGTCTCAGCAGAATTCAGACCCCTCTCACAGTTCTAACCTTGTGAACTTTCATTATTTTTACAGCAATGAAGGTCCCCAAACAAAAAGGAAGGTAGTTTTGGGAAGAGGCCAATGTCATCCTTGCTTTAAAGTTAAACTATAAACTACATTCCTCCAATAATTAGCTTGGCCTACACCTAGGAATCAGTAAGGGGCATCAGTCTGTGAGGTTAGAAGTAAGATGGAGTCAGTTATGTTAGATTTCTCTCACTCTCATAATTTTTGCAAAGGTGGTTTTACTATCACTGATTCAAGTCATCATTATTTCTTACCAAGATCATAATAAACCTGGGCCATTACAATCAATTAGCCCTATATCAATAAAAATAAAAGTCAAAGTCCTTACAATAGCCTAAAAGCTCACATCCATTCTGGCTGCTGTTACTTTTCTGACCTGTCCTACTTTTCTTTCCCTTATTTAGTCTACTCCAGCTACACTGGCCTCCTTGCTTTTCTTGGAACACACACACCATATAACCTTTGAACTGACTGTTACCTTAGCCAGAAATGCTATTCCCCTAGTAATCTCCTAATTAACACACTCTACCTCTTTGAAGTTTTGCTCAAAAGTCACTTTCTCAATGAGGCCTATGTGCACACCATCCAGCTTCCAATATCTTTGTTGTATTTTTTTTCTCATAACACTATATCTTCAAACATACTCTTGATTGTCTATATTCCCCTGAGAAAATTAATAAGGGCAGGTATTTGTTTTATTTTCCAAAATACTCCAATATTCAATAAACATTTGTTGAATGTATCTATGAATCAGTGAATCAATGAAAATATAAATAATAACTTATATTTATCAAAAAATACCATAAAAAATGAAAATTCTAAAGACAAAATATGAGAATATGTTTATAATATATATAATTAATAAAGGCTTAATATTATGAGGGTACTTTTTAAATAAATACTATAAACAGATAAGAAAAAAGTAAATAACCTGATAGAAAAAATGGCTTGCATATACACCATTAATATACATTCACATGCATATGTATATATATTTGAATAGGTATTTCATAAGTGGAAACACGAATGGTCAATAAATAATTAAAAGTTATTTAGTTTCATTAAACTAAATAAATTTAATTTAAAAAGTTTAAGTAAAGAAATAAAAATTAAAGACATAAGAAGATATTACACATCTACCAACTGGCAAAAAGAAAAGAGTTTGACAATAGCAAGTGTTAGTAGGGATGTGAAGCAATAGGAACACTATTGGTAGGGAATATAAATTGGTTCTTGCAATTACTTCGAAAAACAATTTGGCACTATCTGATAGAGCCACAGATACACATACTGTACAACCCAGTAATTCTATTTTTAGATATATCCTAGAGACAATGCTGTATTTGTGCTTCAAGAGACATACTAGAATTTTCATGGTTTCATTGTGTATAATAGCAGAAAATTTAACTGAATTTAAATTTCCACTGGATAAAGAACAGATAATAATCTGTATTCATGCCTGGGAATACTTTACAGCAGTGAAAATGAATTAACTATGGCTGTACACATCATCATATTGGATACAAAGAAGTGATATGAAAAATAAGCTAATATTTTTATGAAATTTGAAAACAAAACTAAATAATTACTTATGGATAGTTACATGATAGATTATTTTAAAACATAAGAATGATAAACAAAAATTTAGGGTAGTGACTGACTATTCAGGTAAAGAGAAAGGTGATGTGATTGGGAACAAATACACAAATAGCCTCACACTGTATCAGTAATGGCTCCTTCACCCACTGGGAGAATGGCTTTAGGTAATTGTGCTATTGTTATGCTTTATAATTTACATTGTGTATGCTTTATAATTTACATATAATATGTCTCACCATCCGCAGTCATGATTAAAAGTAAAAAATAGTCCAGAAGTTTGCTCAGAGAAGAAATATTCTCCTTGGAGCTAATAATTATTTGTTAATTCAAGTACTATGCTGAAAATTGATAAGCTGTCTGATACAGAATAAATAAAATCCAATGATGTAAACAAAAAGAAACTTTAATTGTGGCAAATGTTTGGAGTGAGATTAAATTCAAACATATCTATCCTAAGTTATAGATATTTTCTGTTGTGTTTTACTAATGATCAGAATAAAATCTGACTCCCTTGATATCAAATTGTTTTTACACAAAACAACCTGTCTTTACCCCATCTTGCATGTAAACCTTTAACACCAAAGCTTGTGCTATAATTCAAAATTTATAAATATGTTTTAGAGCATTGTATGAGTCATAAATCATGTTTATTGTAAGAAGTACTGCTAGTTTATGAAATATGCTGGTTATTTACTTTGTCAATTATCTCACTATTTTTTCCTCTCCTTTTCTGGGTAGAAAAAAACAATTCAGCAGACTAATAGTCAAATGAAGTTGACTCTGGCTATTTCTAATTCAATCAAAATGCAAAATTTTGTTTATTCCACATTCAAGGTGACCTTTAAGTACATGTAGTATGATGAGAATTGTTTTACTATAAGAAACCAGATCCTTCTATTTCAGAGCAGGACCCTACCACTGTTCCAACCTCATCCCCACCATATGCCCTCAACACCCTTCATTCTAGCTTATAGTTTCTATCACAAACTCTCCTGTTCCTAGGAATGGTGTTACCCATCATCCCCCAGTCATGTAACTTGGCATATGAAGCCCTTCAGCACCCACCCATCTGTCTTCATCTACCCCTCCCTGACTCACTCCACATTCCTGCCACATTTAACTTTTACTATTTCTCAAATCTAAGTCCATTCACACAACCAGAATTTGCACATGTAGCCCTTCTGACTGGAAAGCTCCAAAAGCCCTACTCATGTCTGAAAACCCTACTCAAATTGTACACCTTCCATGAAGCCTTTCTACTCCTTTGCCAGACAAAGCAAGTTGTTCCCTCCTTTGATTTGCTTAAATGGATAACTCTCCAAGTGCCCTGGTAGCAATAGTATTCTCAGATTCAGGCAAGCAGAGCCCTTGCCTTGACCCCAGACCTGTGCATGTCACCCCTTCGTTGGATGGTCTTCTTATAAATTTCCTAATTCCTTGTCTTGTGTCTGGGACTGGCAGTGCTCTGGCAGCCCAATGTCCTGAGCCCTGATCTGAACATTCATAAGCTAGGTCCCATTTCGCCTATTAGGGAGGCTTTCTGACTTCTACCCCTAGTGTGGGGTTGATCAGATGTGCCAGAAGCTGCACTTTCCAATCTTGCCTCGTCATTAATTTGCTCTGTGATGACTTTAGACAAATTAACATTCAATTCAATGTCTTAGTCCTAAAATAAGAGGGTTGAACCTTAGGTAATATTTGAGATGTTTTTCAGATATAAGAATTAATGATATTTTCTAGTCATTGAGTAGTCTTATCACTCTCATGGATAAAAAATGTAGTGATTTATAAGAAATGAACACTCAATTATACTGTTTCATCAGTAAATAAAAACTGGAAAATAAAATATTTACTATAATGACAAAACAATAATAAAGAGACATGATTTATCATGTCTTTAGGAATATACTTTTAATTGTAAATCTAGGATTCTTCACCTTAATTTTTTAAATGTTTTAATGATTTATTAACAATTTGAAGAGTTTAATTTTACTTTAAGATTAATAAATAAGAGCACAAATTTTTATATGTTATTATTTTGTGAGAACTTGTATCTATAGTAGTATTCAAAATTAATGTACACAGATATTAGATACTAATAAATAGAAAAATAGGACTTAATTCTAACACTCATTCTGATAGAAAGACAGTAATATTGCCAATACATAGATCAATAACTGTGCTGACAGAATTGGCAGTTAAAATGTAACATAAAAGTTCAGATTTTAAATACCAAGCATGCTATATTTTAATTTCCATAGCTATGTGATTAGTGCTTATCAAGTAATTTCTGTATATGTTTGCAATAATTTAAAATAAAAATGAATGCCAGAATGAAAACCAAGGAAAAAACAAAAATAAACTAAAAGAACACAAGGAAGAAAGTAATTAAAACAGTAAACATGAGGGGGAAAAAGTGGTATTAATAACCACCATGTAATTCCTATGTGTATTATTTTTAATGTACAAAGATGTTCATTTCTTATAACATTCAAATCAAGCTAATGAAATCAAGGCATTATAAATGTTTTCTTGTAAGGTGCTTGATAAATTAATTGTGTTAAAAATTAAAAAGTATCATTTAAAAATAGTTTCATCTTACTATATTGTATATGTGTGTATAATTCAAATTACATTAAAGTTAATTTAAAATGTTTTGTGTAAGAAAGAAAATCAGTAGCTCTCAAGGGGAAAAAAATTGTTCTCTGGCTATAAGTTAGTAAATGTTAATGAATGAGTTAATAAAAGTTCCTCTTTGCTGTCTGTGCATGTTGCCAGGTGGCAGAACCTGTTATTCTTTCCAGAGCTTGTCTCTAAACTCTCAAAGCTCTGTTAATATTCACATTGGCCCTTAGTGTGCATTGATGATACTTCATGACAATGACCAATTGTAAAAACAATGAGGACTGCTTGCTTCTAGCAGAGCTAAAATAGCATAGTTTTATGTTGCTTTCCTCTCAGGGATAAGGTCGAGAGCCTGATGCTTCAGCTTTACTAGCTTCAGAAAGGAATCCTTGCTTCTGCTTGGCTGTGAGAAAACATGGCTCCTCTGAATAGCTCCAACTATTTTTCATTCTCAGGAACTTTTATACTTATCTTTAGCAACTAACAATTCTACTTTGTCAACCCATTTGGATGTTACCTTTCAAAATCAGAACCTATTTGGAATAGCACAGCACTATTTTGAATATACATATGGATACACATATATTCATTTATATATACACATATATTCATTTTATATATATTTATGCATATATAAAGGGAGAGAAAAAGAGGGAAATCAACATTATATATAGATGATAGATTGATTTAGAGATAAAGACAATCTTTAGGATATTGATTTTTAGAAGCAATGCTTGGAATATTTTACATATAGATTATCTTTGACACTTCTCAGATAGCCACTTAGAAACACAAGAACTTTCTCCCTCATCTTTTTCCTGTAATTCATGGCACAGGCATAAAAACACAAAGGAATGCTAAGAATATTTAGCATGATTAGTATGCTCCAAATGTTTTTGGCATTGCTCAACAAAATTATAAAACCTGCTCTATTTTCAGTCTTCGATATAAAAAAGCTCTAAAAACAAAGAGGGCAGCTTATCCTTCTTGGGGCCACCAATTTTCTTTGTATTTTTAAATGCTCATATGAATGTAATTTAGCAGTTGTTGCTCATTTTCAGGATGTGAAAAATAATGACTAGCAATAAACTTTTAAATGACTGTATTGCCATGATTGAAATACTTGTTATAAGGAGTTATTGGGGCATACAACTTAAAACAGATTGCAAAGCAAGTGTGTAAAGCCCTACACATTCATCAGTGACTTCATTGGCTATATCAGTGGATAGCAGAACATTAACATGAGTTCCAAAACTATAATCTGATAAAAGTCTGTGAAGAAACAGAACTGAAGTGATCAAAGCTCTTAAGAACTAGAGAACTATATAGTTAACAGAACACTGGGAACTTTCCACATACTACATTAATGGATGATCTATGATACTTCTGATTACTTTCCCAGGGACCACTCACTAGAACACTTAAACACTAAATAATGTTGTGCTTTATTATTACAAAATACTAATAAATTGTGTGAACATATTCCACTCTCAAGTACTAGAAGCTCTACCAGTAGCGCTGAAAAAAACAGTACTGTGACATCAAGACATGATTGAGTTCACTTGGAGTTGAGTAAAGCAAGACATCACTTGAACCTCACTGGAAGGGCCTTGTCACATCCTGCTGAATTTTAGTATAGTTAAGTATCAAAACCTACTGTGTTAAATTTAAGCCTTCTACAATAACATTTCTTCCTATTAATTTGCTGTTTTCTCCCTAGACACCAGGACCAATGATTTGTTTTATTCACCTGAGTCTTAGACCCAACATGACAACCAAAAGGAAGCTTCTTATAGAGACATGAGACTCTTTAGAAATCTGAAAATCCTAACTCAGTCCTAAAAATAGAAATTCAACCCTTATATCAGTTATTATAGTCCACATGCCAGACTGACAGTATCCAAGGAGATAGTATTCAACCTATGTAATTGCCAATAGGAAAGCCATGCTTCTGACTTCACTTGTTTGTTCCTGACAAGATTTTTTAACTGATCTCCCATACATACAGTTCTACTTTGCCCTCATATATTGTCCTGGCATTCTCAGTATTGTCTAGAAGCTTAAAAAGAAAAAAAATCTATGTTTGAATCCCAACGACATTCTGCTAACCCCTTTCTTCCATTAACTGATATGACTACTTTCTTATTGAAAAATTCATTCTCACTTGAGAGCTGTCGCACGATAAGGAGACTGAACAGAACTGTTAATCCACTCTCTTCCATCAAGATAAAACATTGAGTTTACAAATGCCTTTAAACTGAGAGGACCAGTGTATTTCAGTGAGCATTGTTATAATTTCTAACTACTGCACTGTCCCATCTGAACTTAGAAGTTCAGTCATTAAGTGTCAATTGAAGTGAAAAATTACTGGGACCATGTAGACCTAAATCACACAAAAATAATAAACTTATATCTAGTTGCTCCTATTGTACTATGCTCTATGGCAAAGACAGAATAACAGCACATTCCTTAAATGTTTCTATGTTGGGTGTGCTCCCTGTGACACACAGCAAAGTTTCTGGACGGGAAATTCTAAATGTTTTGGGCATGCTTCTGGCCAGAATCAACATGTATAAAATGAGTAGTTTCCCACTTCACCCCAGAGAAAGAGAGAAACACCTGATCTATATTTGGCAACTGTGGTCTGTGGCTTATTTTGCCATAGGAATGATGAAATTGTTTTTGAAAACCAACATTAGTAACTATACCCAAAAGTGTACTAAAAATGAAACAACTGTAGAGTATATTACAACTTGGTTTCTCTATAAAACTTGAAGCTTTAAGAACTTTGCAAGGCTTACCCTCCAAGGCTTCACAAAGGAATGTTTCACCCTCCTTCCAAAAGGGCTCATGCAAAATGACTTTGGAGCGCAACATATCCATCCTATGGAGTTACCTGCTCTACTGGAGAAATCAAGAACCCAACCAACCTTTTTAAACAAAGGAGTAATGTCAGGACTGTTTCTCTAAGCCTGGTATCCTTTGAGAGAGTGGCTTGGAGTTTCACCTTAGCCATCAAAAAAGGGCTGTGTTCACATCTTGTAAGGACCCCTCCAACTGTATCCCCATCTATTCAAAGTTTATCCATGGCTTATCAACCCCAAACTGAAGAAAGTTGGCAAATTATGCTGCACTGAAGATAGTAACTTATTTATATCAGCTGGTAGGCATCCTTGCAGGGAATTAAGAAATAAAAAATAAACAGGATAGTTTTCATTTAGATGTAGAAGCAATGCTTATGAAATGCTATAAGCAATGTAGCCTTAAAAGGATGCATCACAAATGTTCTCACTGGGATGCTAAGAAAGTATTGCACTGCAGTGAGATATTTAAGGGAGCCTACACAGATCCAAATTTAAAATGGAGTGTTGATTATAGTCAACAGGCAGAAGAATTGTAAATGCAAAACATTAGATGTCCCATAGTTGCCTTTTAAAAGCTCTCTGTGCTCTTTCCTTTGCCATATTTTAAGTTGTTATTTTCTTAGGTCACCTATTCCTTTCCCCTCTGGTGCTAAGTAATGATATTACAGTGCCAACATTGAAAGTGCATGTGTTCCTAAATGCTGACGATAGAAATCTCAGAAATATAAAAAGGATAAAGTATTTATCTCCCCCTGTAGCTCCAGAAAAATAATATTATTCTGCCTCCTAGACCTAGTTTTGATAAAATGGTGAATGGAAAACATCTATAAAAGTATCAATCTTATACTCACAAAACGTGGAAAAGTGTAATCTGTTATGGATGTTATGGAAACTGTTCTTGGAAGTGTTATTTGTACAAAGGAGTCTTTTAGGACACCACAGAGTCTTTCAAGATTACTGAGTAACAGCTGCAATATAATCTGTTAGACTAAGTTTGTGATTCATATCATTTGTCAATATTTGGAATATTTGCTCTGGTAAAAATATTCAAATTAGCATCCTTGTTTCCTAAAATATATAAATACTAGTGTGGTTTTTGTTGTTGTTTTTGTTGTTGTTGTTGTTGTTTGAGGCAGAGTCTCCCTCTCTTGCTAGGCTGAAGTGCAGTGGTGGGATCTCGGCTCACTGCAACTTCTGCCTCCTGGGTTCAAGTGATTCTCCTGCCTCAGCCTCCCGAGTAGCTGAGACTGTAAGCGCTCTGGCGCCCAGCTAATTTTTTTTTTTTTTAGATGGAGTCTTGCTCTGTCGCGCAGGCTGAAGTGCAGTGGCGCAATCTCCGCTCACTGCAAGCTCTGCCTCCCAGGTTCACGCCATTCTCCTGCCTCAGCCTCCCGAGTATCTGGGACTACAGGCGCCTGCCAAAACGCCCCGCTATTGTTAGGAGAGACGGGGTTTCACTGTGTTAGCCATGATGGTCTCGATCTCCTGACCTCGTGATCCGTCCGCCTCAGCCTCCCAAAGTGCTGCGATTACCGGCGTGAGTCATCGCGCCCAGCCGTGATATTTTTAAGTCAGAAGAGCACCTTGAGCATTCCATTTTTCCTCCCTTTATACACAAATGCAACAGTAATACCATGAAGATGTTGAATTCTTTATTCAAACAAAAAGTTACAGATTATTTGCGTCATTTTAAATCAATCCTAGGACATTCTGAAATACAGTTAAAAAAAGACAAAAATCCTAAGACTATGTACTTTTTAATACACAGAGGGAAGATAATCACTGTTAGGTAATAATATATTTAGGGAAGACATACTTAGCACCTTTCTTGAAGCCTGAAATTTGAAGCCTGGAAGTTCAGAAACTCAAAAAAGAACACAACTTGAATCCCTCTCTCATATTTAACTTGAATTCTCAACACTTATTTGCAAAAACCATGTGCAAATACATGTGCAAATTAGAAAGCAATGGGGTTAAGTAAGAATCCCAAAGTCACACATCAAGGGAGGAAAGGTAAAATTTTAAGCTGCTAAGTATTAATTTCTGGGTGTGTGATCCAGCAGCTGCTTCTGAAGGAACACAATTAATTCCATATATGATTTATCTAGTTATTAATGTCTCAGTTCTAACATTAGGAGAAAAAGTTCTAAAACATTACAGAAATAGACACAGTTGAATGAAGAGGAATTCTTTGCTGTGTTACTCAGAATGAGCCTTTTCTAGATCATTTATAATGGCTGTTATTTTATTTTGTGTTATGTATTTCCAATAGTATAAGGCACAAATATTTGAGTAGCTATGTGTGGGTTCATGCTCAAGAGAAGAGAAATCAATAGGTTTTCTTTCCTATGCATTGTTTCTTTCTATCATCTCATTTTACTTTGTATTATATACCCCAAATCAATATGAGCTCTCCTCCCATATAGAGTATCTCAATTTTAACTAAGCATAACATTTCTACAAGCACAGTGCCATAAAGTAGATTCTATCATTTATGTAGTATTCTTGATCCTTTCACAAAATGACATTTTGAAAGAGAAAATTTAGGTGTTTAATAAGGCAGAGTAAGAAAAGCACTTCAGCCCTCAATCAGAATAAACTTTTAAACAACGATAAAGAAACAATTACTTGTTACTGTAATTTCTTCTTTCTAGTTAACTACAATGAGAAAAGATATGATTAGCTAAACCAAATCCACATTTCAAGTAATCATGGACAGGAATCAGCTTTCTGGCCAACAAGACAAGAAATGCAATTCGGTCTTCTGATGTTAATACGACTTTATTGAACCAAACCATCCATTCAGCAGGATGGGAACACACAAAACAGAAAAGGCCCTTTTGGACTGTGCCTTAGAGTAGGCACCACAGATGCATACAGAAATAATACTGATGTTACGTGCTGCAATTGCATGTGGCTAGTGCTATAATGGAAGAAAGTACCAAGGGAACAGAAAGGAGAGTGGCATTAATTCTGGGTGGGAGAAATTAGATAAGGTAAGAAAAACTTTAAGCTGATCTTTTTCCCACTACCCTGTCCAAATTATCCCTTCCTGTTAACAGAAAAATTACTTTAAAAACTACATATTGCTGCAAAAGTAGTAAGCTATTCACTCATCAAGATATAACAACTTGGGATGGCTAAATTGTACATTCTTTCATAGTAACTGCCTGCTGATTCAAGTCATAACTCATTAGCATAAAGTTTAACTCTTCCATTGTCTGGCTTTAATCCATCTTACTGTTTTTATGTTTTACCAAGTCACTTTCCACTTACTATGCTTCGGGAAACTGGAATACCCTAGACACACATAGCCATGTCTCACAACACAGGATGAAGTAGGCATGCTGGTTTGGGTTTCTTTTTTTTTTAATTGATGTCTTACGAATCAAAAGAATTTGAGAAATAGTTATTTTCTACTTTGTCCTATTAATAGCTTAATAAGAAAGAGTACCAAGAGAAAAATTAATAAAACAAATTAAATAATAAGCATAAGAAAACAGTAAAAGCTCATTTGCAATAAAATTAATGCAAATCATAAAAGAAGATCCCACTTTTACCAAATTTGTGAAGATTTTAAAATAACAATATGAATTATAATGAAAGAAAATATTAGTGAGGTTAAAGTTCAGGAAAATGAACCCTCTCCTACAATGCTGCTTATTGTACAAATTAGCAGCATCTTTCTGGAAGACAACTTGGCAATTCTTGTAATTAAAATCCATGAAATGCAAACTCTACTTCTAGTAATGTAGCCAAAGAGAAGTGTTATGGATACATGCAAAGACTGAAGCATTGCCTATAATATAGAGCAACTGAAAACAATGTAAATGCCCAACAACAAAAAATAAATTATGTCATATTTGTATATGGAAATGTTACCCATACATTTAAAAAGACAAATATTTATTGACATGCAAAAATGTTCATTTATATTGTTAAAATTTAAAAAAAGAACTTATTACAAAACAGCATTATCACATTTTTGTAAAAAAACTATATACGGTATTTAAAATGGGTACGTTAAATTGAAAGTTTTATTTTTGCATATTTATACTTACTAAATTCTACACGTTTCACTCATCTATTCATTACTCAAAGTATTAAGGATATACAATGAAATGAAAATATGCTGACAGTATTTCTCCCATCATGGAGCTTACATTCTAGTGAATGGAGGTAAGCAATGAACATATAAATAAATGGGAACATATATTATTTTTGTAAAGCAGTTTCTAAAGATTTGTTTGTAAAAGTTGATAAGGAACAAAGCAAATATTATAGCATTTAAGATTTGGAAACATTTCAATAGAAGTCATGTGTAAGAGGATATGCTCATTGTCTTCATTTTTTTCTGTTCCAATATGGTAGAAGATGTTTTTGAGACCTAAAATACATGTGTAAAAAAATCAATTTGGTAGACATTTTCTTCCATAGGCATACATGGAAGTACATATGGGACAGTGTACACCTATTGGCCAAGAAAGAGAAGACTTAGCATTATCCTAATTCTTACCTGCCAAGTACCCTTGGGCAAGCCAGTTGACCTCTTTGTGCCTCAGATTCTTCATCTGATAAAGAAATAATTATGTTTCAAATATACTCTGAAGAGTTCAAATAAATTATACCCAAAGACAAAGTACTCTTAAAAGATATTCTAATGTATGCAAATGCATGTGTTCTTGACAAAAAATCCTTGCTAAAAGCAACTTAACAAAAATAACAATACTAATAGTAGCTACCATTACTTGAAAACCTATAAGCTACACACCATGCTAGACGTTTTAATTATATGATGGCTTTTAAACATCCTGACAATTGTTTGAGTCAGGTATTACTATTCTAATTTTACAGGTGAGAGAAACAAGAGTCAAAGAAGTTAAATCATGTCTTCACAATGAAACAGCTAATAAATGACAGAACCCAGATCTATAGACCTTTAAAACTCATTACGTTCCTTTTATGTGTCCTCATGCTTCAGAATTTCCTAAATTTTACAAAAATTGTGTTAAAATAAGGAAATCCTAAATGTTAATGTGAAAGTATCATTTTAGTCTTCTAACTTACCCAATCTTGGTGATGTGAGATGAAAATTAAATGATTAGCAGGTTAAAATAGAAAAAAGTAAAAGAAAAAAATTACATAAGTTGAAAAGTATAAACACTTTGTACCCTGCTGTATATTTATGATAGAAATTTTACTTTTTAGTACTTCACAAAATTGGAATGCTTCAGAGAAATGGCCTTTTCCCAAATAAATTCTCCAATCCCAAACCTACACACGACGAAAGCATTCAACTAGAAGAGGCTGTCTAACACTGAGGGCTTGGTACAGTTTTGGAAAAAGTGAGGATACCTGGCTTCTAATCCCAGTAATTCTACTTTATTGGGTAATATGGCGTTGGTCAAACCATGTACTCTTCGGGTCTCAGACACCTACCTCAAATCTGAAATTGACTTCAAAAGGCTGGAAGCAGGTGCTCATAAATCCATAAATATACATGGCTTTTAAACATCTGGAGTTTTATACCAATGTCAAGGATAATTGTTACTAGTGTCCTGAGGTCATTAGGAGAAGACAGAGCTCTGCCTCCAAAAAGTGATAAAAAGTGTACTCACTCACATCAGAAAGTATAACAAGAGGAACCACACACACACACACTGGCACACACATACACACACACACACACTCACGAAAGGCATGGTCAGTTTTGGTAACGTGAATCCAGCTATCCAGATCCTAATGAAGGTAAGCAGGATATCTGGGCTCCTGACTCAGTCCCCATCCTCTTACCCCAGCACTATTCAGAAAGATTTTACAGTACTGTACTTTGATATAGTTGTGTTAACCACGGGGGACTATCCAATGGCTTTGTAAAAAGCTTTTAGACTGATGATTAAAAGTTAGGCAGAACATAAAAGAAAGTGCCTTCTGCATCACCACTTGTTTAATGCCCACTAGACAGATTTCTCCATTGGGCCTGCTTTATCCAGAAGAAGGCACCAGAAAACTAATTTATTAAAAAGGGGCCTTCTGGTTCAAGGCTGAGGCAACGTTTCTTATGATTAATATATCATCCTCACAAAAGCATGGCCCAGGGTGTTTTTATGTCACTGATTACCAAAGAAAGTTAATGTTCTTTATTTTAGTTCTTTAAATGGACTTTAATTTTAAAAGTATTTTATTTTCTTCTGCTTCATTATTTTTATGTTTTTTTAAACAATAATGGTATATATTTTAGTAATATGAGTTTTGATTCTTTCATATTATTGGTAATATAATTAGTAAAATTTTAAATAGGAACTTCAGTCAGAAATATGATTTCTACAAGAGCAGAATTGTGTAGTAAGTACTTTAAAACAAAATATTATTATATATAATAGAATCTTATTGTTTGTTTCAATTATAGAAATGAATAATTATAAATAAGACCAAACTTAGATGAATAAAACCAGAAAATAAAAGTATTTCAAACAGCTTAAACTCTTTTAGGGTCATATAAACATATGATCCTATTAAATGCTTTCATTAAACAATGTTATTAACAATTTTATTAAGTTGAGCTCATGTTAACTTGCTTTTTAAAAATGTTCCTAGGTATGTCCCTTTTGATCAAGTTATAGTTAAAAGTCTCTTATGAATAAAATGGAAATGATAGTATTTACTTCATAGGGAAGAAAGAGTGCCTAATTGCCTGGTAGACAGCAAGGTCAATATTAGCGAGGGCTCTTTAATTAAGCTGTACTTTTAAAAATTAATTTACATTCTGCTTTCCATTCCAAATTTGCCATTGTTACAAATGCAAAACCATTTTAGCACTTCCCAAAGGAAGATTTTCAAAGTTTCAATAAATACACGAAAAAAGGTTTAAAATCATCAGTCATCAGAAAATGCAAATTAAAAATTCCAATTAAATGGAAATGTAAAATTTTCCAATTAAAAATTCACTTCAGCTGCTCTTGAGAGTGTAACTTCTACTACACTCTCAAGAATAGCTAAAGTGAAAACAAATGTTGGAGAGGATGTAGAGCAACTGGAACTCACAAACATTGCTGGTGGAATGTAAAATAGTACAACCTCTTTGTAAACCTGTCTTGCAGTTTATTAGAAACGTTAAACATAAATCTACCCTGTGACTCTGCAAGAAATGAAAACATATGTCCACCAAAGGCCCTGTACAAAAAGGTTGATAGCAGCTTGTTAATTAGAGCCATCATCTGGTGCATAGATAAACTGTGGTATAGTCACACAATGGAAAACTACTCAACAATAGAAAGGAATTGGTGATTGATACATACAATATGGATACATTTTTAAAATAAGTATATACTGTATAATTCCATTTAGATACAATTCTAGAGTATACAAAAGTAACCTATGCTGATAGAAATCAGATCAGTGGTTTCCTCCCTGCTGTGCATTATATGTGAGTCCAAGGAGGGAGAGGAGAGTGGTGGGTTCTTTCTTTTCATTTTCGGAATTGCCAGAAGTTTGTAATTTTGGGGAGTGGGAGGTGGGGTGGAGGCAAATTGATGGATCTTTTCATAGTAATGGTTTTGTTTGTTTGTTTTTGTGCATGAAGACTTTGTTACCTTTATTAGTTTTTTCCTTTCTAGTATTTGTGGCTTATCATATTGGTCATTTTTGTTAGTTTCATTCTTTATCATTTTAACATATTATTCTAATGTACATTTTCCTTTTAGTACCATCTTTGGCAGCATTTCCTATAGTCTGTTCTTTATTATGACTTATTGCCAAACAGTTTATAATTTCAATGTGGTTTCTTCTTTTAACCAGGAGCTATTTGAAAACATTGTTGTTGCTGTATTCTTATATCTATTTAACTTTCTAATCTTCTTTGGTTGCCCTTTTAAGTTTTACTATATTGTGATCAATCAATTTGACCTAAATAATTTCCAGTTTTTGAAATATATTGAGATTTTCTTTGAGGCTTAACATATGTTCAACTTCTATACATGTTCCATAGGTGTTTGAAAGAATGTATATCATCTACATATATACTTATTTAAACAAGTTTAGTAATTATTGATCAGATGCTCTAAAACCTTATGTATATTTTACTTGTCTGGGTCTCCTTTTTATTGTATATGTAAGAGTGTTTTATATTTTAATTGTATATTGCTTGATGAATAAAAATTTAAGTCTGCTACATCTTATTGGTAGTTAGTATATTTTATTGATGTAAAATATGTCTCTTTGCCTCATTTAAATCCATGTGAGAATAGAAACCACCCAAAGTCACACAGATTAATAGGATTAAAATTAAGATTGTTTTCATAATATTATTATTTGACTGCATGCATTAACATTACTGTTCCAGTGTGTCCAAAAAAAGTTGCCCAAATGTTTTAAAGTAACTTATTTCCAGTGCAACTATGCCTTTGAAAAATATATAAAATGATAATCTTACACAATTGCCTACATTCAATGTCAAGAAATAAAACTAAGGGGCTGACTTTATTCCTAAAGTTATGAAGTTGAAAACTGAATTTCAAGGATAATTCTGATTTCATATTTTATAAAACAGGAAAACACCACCGTGGAGAACAAGACTTATTATTAAACTTCACTCTGTTTTATTCTCTGGCCTTAATACATTATGTGCCTCCTGTCTTGATCATCATTAAAAGAAAATTACTCAGGGTTTTGACTTGGAACAAACCCCATCCACTGGTAGCTTTAAGTAAAGATGGAGCTCCTCTACAAAGAATTATTGCTCAATTACCCTGGTAATTGCCCCAAGGACCTTCTTGATTTATACCTGACCCTATACTGAGTTTGTTTGGAGTTCCTGTGGTAAAAACAGTTCTCACCGTTGCAACTGGCTTCTGCCTTTGTCTGTGTCCATTTCAAATTATAATTTCCTTTATCAATCTGGTCCTACCTGCTGTCTATAACTTAAAAATTATGCAAAATATCTGGTATACTTACAGAATC
Source organism: Homo sapiens (assembly GCF_000001405.40). NCBI lineage: Eukaryota > Metazoa > Chordata > Mammalia > Primates > Hominidae > Homo > Homo sapiens. The sequence goes on from NC_000002.12 coordinate 17,438,534, forward strand.
CTTTCTTGCTTTTCAGCACTGTTATAGAATACACACACGCACACACACACAATTTCAAAAGGACCATAGGAACTTAGGAAGGAGCTAGATCTTGGGAGGAAGCTGAGTAGGATCAACATACTGGCTAAGTCAAGGATACACCATTCACATTATGTTGGCCTTGCTTTTCATTGGATTGTACAAAACAGGGCCTCACAGGAAGAAAACATGCATGCTCAGTCTGCCATCTTGAACCTGAAGTATCAATCGCCCACTGAGATTTTAAATAGGCCTTTCTTGCTCCTTTGGGTTATAATTGGTTTAGAAATCACAAAAAAAATTAGGATTGGTTATTTAAAATGTGTATCCCTCTGGCATCTGTGTTCTATGTGAGATCAGCCAAAAACTTTTGTAAATTAATAATCCAAAATATCCTCCAGACACAATGAAATTAAAAGAAGGATATTACCAGTTTCCCCAGATGGGGAAAAAAGAGATTGTGAGGTTAAAGCCAAACAATTAAAATCCTCAAAATGTTCCCAGTGTATTTGCATTTGCTTGTTGATTGCTTTTATCATACAATAAAACTAAAGACTTTCTGCAACCAAATGCAGTAGAAAACAATCTTTACTGAGGAAAAAAATTAAAATATGAATTGCTTTTTGTAGGAAAGACTTGTTGAAACATTTTGTAATTTCTAACTTGAATTGACTGAGGCCCACAGAGACATGAAGGCAACCTTTGCAAAATGTATTAAAAGTAACAACAGGACTTACTCTGTACTTTGCTAAAATATTAGTTAATTCAAAGTGCATAATAATCACTTACAAATGGATGCATATACATCTACAAAATCAAAGCAAAACATCTCTTCCAGAGATTTTTTTCTAGTGTTTTAACAGGACAGCATGGCAAAATAATATTTCCAGTACATCTTAAAATTAAAATAAACATCTACATTACCTAGAACCTCAGAGAAAAGTATTCATTATAATAAAATAAATATACCATAATTTCATAAATGTGAACCCATATGTGTTCATAGAACCAGCAGCAAAATTTTGTCTTCATGACACCCACTAATTGTAAGATAAGTACCAAATTATTTCCATTAGTATTCAAGGTTCTTTGAATTCCAGCCTCCACCTCTTCTGCCTCTATTGTCTCTCATTACTTTCCATATAAATAAATTCTTAAATCTAGGAAACTATTTTCCGTGCTCATTCATGGGTTTATTCATTTAGTAAATATTCATTAAGCCCCTACCAAGTATCAAGCACAGTTTTAGGCACTGGAGACACACCAGTGAAATGACAGACAAAAATTACCGTTCTTGTGAAACTTATGTTCTTTAGAGGACAGGAGGAGACAGATATGAAAGCATAAATTATGCATATATAGGTGTATATGTTTATATAGTGTAAATTATAGGTAAAAGTGAAGGATAATGGAAAAATTTGACCAGAGTAAGCATCCAGGGGTGATGGGGGAGTTGCAACTAATCCAGCTCAAGCCGTTGGCTCCCATTGAAACTCTTCCCAGTTTCTCCGACCTATGGTGACCTTCCCATCCTGTGAACAAGTGTAGTACTACCTGACAATCTGTAGCCTTCAACTGACTTTTCTGGCACATTATCTTATACTGTAATAGGCAGTAAATTTGAAACTGCCTGGAATTGGAGAGAGAAGTCCAGCAATGTAGTTTTGACTCTGTCACTTGGTAAATTATGTAACCTGTAATTTTTTAAAGGAGGGGTTTGACTATATGGTTATCTTAATATCTTTTGAACTGGAAATATCATAATTTTTATGTGTATGTTTTTCTGCCCCCATCAATTTTGCAATAAGCATATGTCTTTTATATATATTCTTTTTAGAACCATCCATATGTTTAATATGTAATAAATGTGTATTTATCTTAATTGGTTTGCTGGTAAAATCATTTTCAGTCTCATTATCAAAACATCATTCAAGGCCGGGTGCGGTGGCTCATGCTTGTAACCCCACACTTTGGGAGGCCGAGGCAGGCAGATCACCTGAGGTCAGGAGTTCAAGACCAGCCTGGCCAACATAGTGAAACCCCATATCTAATAAAAATACAAAAATTAGCCAGGTGTGGTGGTGCATGTCTGTAATCCCAGCTACTCAGAAGGCTGAGGCAGGAGAATCGCTTGAACCTGGGAGGCAGAGGTTGCAGTGAGGCAGGATTGCACCATTGCACTCCAGCCTGGGTGACAAGAATGAAACTCCGTCTCAAAAAAAAATATTCAATTATGAATAAATGTTTTCAGTCATACACCAGTCTTTCCATTGGCTGCAAATATTTTGTGAAGGAATGTTCTCTCTCTAGTCTCTGAGTAAGGTATAGGTTTTAAAAGAACTTAAGTTCAAGAAATCATGGTTCTCAAGCCCTGTCACTAATGTGCCATGAATACAGATGTTTTGTTTAAAAAGCATTTGATCCTCTCTAGGAAAATCTGCCCCTGCAAAGTTTCCATGTCATTTTTAGTTTGTATTGCCACAAAATCACTCCCAGTAACTATTCAATCAAAAAAAAATTTGCAAAAGCAATTATTCCAAACTAGACAGTTTAGAGCTCCCAAGATTCTGTGCCCCTTGTCTTCAGCTACCAGGGTGGATATGGAAGACCCAGAAGGTGGAGGCAGGGTTAGGCGTGTCTGAGCTCAGACTGTCCTTGTGTGGGTCTTGCTGTGAATGCTGTGGGGGTTGGGGTGAGCTTCCCTGGTCAATGGAGTTGTGTACCTAGGAGGATTATGGCTGCCTCTGCTGAGTCATGCAGATTGTCAAGGAAATGGGGGATAATCAGCAGCCACAGATCTCCCCCCAGCTCCCATGCAAATCAAAGAACTGGTCTCACTCCCATCATGACCCCCTCAACAGCCCTGAGTCTGTTTCCAGGCAGTGGGCAGGCTGGTCTTGAGAACTTGCCCCAGGCTACCTGCCTCCCAGCTGCGAAAGACAAGGGCTTGATTCCTCCCCCACCTGTGGAGGTTGCACACCGGATTCAGCTTCTTGCCCAGTTCAAATTGTTACAAAGTTCAGCTGGAGACCTTCTTCCCTGTGGTGATTTCCCCCTACTCCTCTGGCTGCCTCCCAGAGGATCCCTGTGGTGCCAGGCAGGAATGACTTGCTTGGGAACCCAGCGAGATCCCACCTGCTGCTTCCTCCCTGTATTTTGCTTGGCCCTCTAAATTGACTCAGCTCCAGGTAAGGTCAGAAACCTCTCCCACAAACAGACCTTCAGTTTCTCCAGTGGGGGTGTGTGTTCAGGAGAGGAGGATCTCCCTTTCCCGCTTCCGCAGTTGGGTCACTCACAGTATTTGGGGTGTCTCCTGGGTGTTGCAGGAACAGTCCGCTTTTTTCAGAGGGTCTGTGGGTCCTCTCAGGATTGCTGGTTTGTTCTTGAAGTTTATCTGGAGCTAAAATTCACAATGCGAGCCTCCGCACGCTGCTCTGAGTCAGAGCTGCAATCTAATCCTGCCTCCTGTCTGCCACGATGATCGATTCCACAAAGAAAATTCTAAGTCCACGCAGCTTAAGTTCTGTCAAACATTTAAAAAAAAATACTGAATAAAGGAAGAGTGAATACTTATACCTCATAGTATGTGGTCACCATTACTCTGATACTAAAACCAAGGATATTATTAAAAAATAAAACTACAGACCAATATGTCTCCTAATCATACATTCAAAAATCCTTAACACGGTATAAGCAAATTAAGTCCAGCAATTTATAAGAAGGGTAATGCACCATGACCAAGTGGGGTTTATATGATGAATGCAAAGTGAATTTAAAATGTAAAAAATAACCAGTATCATTCACCATATTAATAAAAATATATGATCTCATTAAAGTACAAAAAAGCATTTGAGGCTGGATGTGGTGACTCATGCCTGCAATCTCATCACTTTGGGAAGCCGAACAGGGTGGATTGCTTGAGCCCAAGACTTTGAGGCCAGGCTTGGCAACATAAAGAGAAACCCATCTCTACAAAAAATTTTAAAAATTAGCCAGGCATGGTGGTGCATGACTGTGTCCCAGCTACTTGGGAACAGGTGAAGGCAAGAGGATTGCGTGAGGCCCAGATTTCAAGGCTGCAGTAAGCTATGATCAAATTATTGCATCACTGCACTCCAGCCTGGATGACAGAGTGAGACCTTGTCAAAAAAACAACAACAACAACAAAAAAAAAAACCACTTGATACAATTCAATACACATTCACCCATTCATGATAAAAATTCTTATGTAAATAGAAACATAATGGAACTTCCTGAACCTCATAAAAAAAAATTCACAAAATCCTATAAAAAACCTCATGCTAAATGGTGAAAGATAATTTCTCACTCAAGTTCAGAAAGAAGGCAAGGATGCTCATTCTCAGTGTTCTTACTCAACAGTGTTCTTACTCAACAGTGTTCTGAATGCAATGTAATATGCAAAACAATGCAGTAAGGCAATAAATAAATATATACGATCACAGTGGAAAAATTAAAACTACATCTATTCAAACATAACATGATCATGTATACAGAAAATTCTAAGGAATTCATCCAAAAAAGTTACTAGAAATAACAAATTAATTTAACATGTTTGCAGAATATAAAATCAATATACAAGAATCAATTGTATTTTCTTACACTATTAACAAACAATTAGATCACTGTTACCTCTGACCAAAATGAATTTAAAAGACCAGAATTACCCTCTCAGATGAAATAATTAAAAAGTCAGAAAAAATATATAAAGTAACTGATAAAAACAAGCAGACAAGATACAGAAGCCTTTAAGAATACTATTAAAAATTTTGACATAAATAATAACTGAATCTGGCAACTGCATAATTCATATCTCTGTAAGTACAAACAATATTTATCTAAACTGACGGTATGCTGGGCAATAGAGTAAATTTTAACTCATTTGAAAGTACTGGAATTATAAAGCATATTATCTAAGTAGAATGGAATAAAGCTAAAATATAATTTTAAAAAAACAACTAGAGAATCTTCATGTGTTTAGAATATTAAGCAATAGACTTCTAAATAAATCACTTTTTAAACAAGACTCAAAATGAAAATTAGAAAGTGTTTTTTACTAAATGATAATGAAAATATTGCATACTAATGTTTGTGGGATGTGATTAAAGCCATGATCAGAAGACATTTTTTATAGAAATAGAATAATTGTATAAATGGTTATCTTAAGAAATTATAAAATTAGCAGTAAATTAAAAGGTAAGGAAAGGAGAAAATGAAGTCAAAAATTCCATACAAAGGATTAGCAAAGCCCAAATTGGTCCTTTGACAAAGCCTTGACAAATAAAATTTATAAACACCTACTGAGGACAATCAGAAGAAGAAAAGAGAAAGCAAATTTACCAAGAAGTCTTTAATAAAATTTAACGTCTACTCACCACTCAAAAAAAAAAAAAATAATAATAGAACAACAAAAAAGAACCTGTTACAAAAATAAGAAAGAAAACCTTCCTTATCTGGGTAAGGATACCTAGGAAAATAAAGAAAGATCAAATAAATAAAAACCTACAGAAAACATCACATTTAATAATAAAATAATGAAAGCTTTTCCTCTGTGGTTGAAATAAGACAAGAATGTTTACTGTCAGCATTTCAATAGAACATTATATTGGAGGTTTTAGCCAGTGAATGCAATAAAATGAAAAAGAAGGAGGAAGAGGAAAAGGAGAATGAGGAAGGAGAGAGGAGGGGAAGGAGGGAAAAGAAGTGGGGAAGGAAAAGGGAAAGAAAGGAATGGGGGAAGGAAAAATGGCATAAGGATTGGAAAGGGAAAAAAACAAATTACTTTTACTCACAAAAGGTGTAACAATACCTAGAGAAGCTAAAAGTATCTATAGACAAATTAGAAAAATTTATGAGTTTAGCAGGATTGCTGGTTACATCAATGTACAATATATATAAAATTGCCTTTCTATACAGCAGCAACAAAGTATAAAAACAAATTTTTAAATATTACTTATATTGGATAAAAATCAAATACCTATAAAACAATTATTAAGATAAAGAAGATTTCACAATGAATGATAGACCACCTTCAGAAGTTGGGAAGACACAAAATCATAAAGTTATTAGTTCTCCCCTAAATTGCTCTGTAGATTAAATGCAATCCTAATCAAAGCTTGGCAGTGTTTGTTGTGGAAATTGACAAGCTGCTTTGAAATTTATTTTATTTCAAAATGCTAAGGGCTGAGAATACCTAAGACAATTTTGAAGGGCAAAGTTGGAAGACTTATGATACTAGATATAAAGACTTATCACAAAGCTACATTAATGATGGCCATGCGTTACTGGAGCAAACGAAGACAAATAGACTAATTCAATTGTGCAGAACAGAGTCTGAAACAGAACTATATATACAGAAATTCTTGATTTGTGACAAAAGTGGAGTGCAGAGCAGTGGAGAAACAGAGGTCTTCTGTAACCAATTGGTAGGTCAACATGTTTTTCCCATAGGAAAAAGAAAAGAATCATGATCTTATCTCACATCATGCTCAAAAATCAGTTCTGGTAGGAGTGTGGATCTCAGTGTGAAAAGTAAAGCAATAAATCTTCTGGAAAATAATATGAACATATTTTTGAGATGACAAATCTTATAACTTAGATGACTTAATTATACACAAACTTCTATCTCTCAAAAAATACCAGAAAGACCGCTAAAGTCAAGACTCAGAGCAAGAGAAGATTTTTGCAACATTTAGAACCAAAAATAGAAAAAAAGTCCTTCAAAATAATAAGAAGAAAACACACACACACACACACACACACACACACACAAACGAACAAGAGACTTAAACAAGCTCTTCACAAAAAGAGTATACTCAATTATCCAGCAGACATAAGAAAAACTACTCAACTGCTTTCATAATAAGGAAATGCGAAATAATACCACAAGCAAGGGTAGGCGAGGCCAAGATGGCGGACTAGAAGCAGTGGCAATAGGAGGCTCCCATTGAAAAGATTCAAAACAGCGTGCAAATCCTGCACAGGCAACCAAGGTATCCAGATTCTGTCATTAGGACTGACTAGGCAGCTGGTGTGACCCACAGAGAGGAAGCAAGAGCAGTGTGGTGCGGTGGCCCACCTGAGAGCCACAAGGGGCAGGGGAGCCTCCACCCTCATCCCAGGGAGTAGGTGAGTGAGTATGCTACCCAGCCTGGGAAACCATGCTTTTTCCACAGAACTGTGCAACCCATGGATTGGAAGATCCCACTCAGAAGCCCATGCAACCAGGGCCTTGGGCCCAGACCATGGAGCCACCCAGATTCTCAACACCCACTTGGCTAGAATCAGCCTAAGCCTGCAGAGTTCCCAGGGAGAGGGGTGGCCATCACCACTGCTGCGGCTGCCTGTGGTGTAAGCTGTCTGAGCTCCTTGGTGGAGGGGTGGCAGCAAACACTGCAGCTGCAGGGCTTCCCTTCAGTGACTCCAACTTCAGCCAGGGACTTAGGGACAGAACTCTGATCTCTCTGGGCCTGAGCCCCTAGTGGAAGGGGTGGCCATAGTCTCCATGGATCAGCAGAATTAATCTTTCCTCCTACTAGCTCTGAGGAATCCAGGCAGCCCAGAAGTGTGAGTTTCCCCACAGTGCAGCACACCCCTTCCACCAAGGGACAGCCAAAGTGCCTCGTTAAATGGGTCCTGCTTCCTGTGCCACCCAACTGGGTAAGAACCCCCAACAGGAGTTATCAGACATCCTATATAGGAGCATCAGGTCAGTGCCCCTCAAGGTCAGAGATCCCAGAGGAAGGAGCAGGCACCCATCTTTGCTATTCTCCAGCCTCCTTGAGTGACATCTCCAGGTGCAGGAGTGAACCAGATGAATAGAGTCTGAAGTGACCCCCCAGCAAACCGCAGCAGGAGCCCTACAGAAGAGGAAGCTGACTATTGAAAGAAAAACGAACAGAAGACAACAACAACAGCATCAACAAAAATGTCCCCACAAAAACCTCATCCAAGGGTCAGCAGCTTCAAAGATTGAAACTAGACAAACTCATGAAAATGAGAAAGAATCAATGAAAAAATGCTGAAAACTCAAAAGGCCAGAGTGCCTCCTCTCCTCCAAATGATCACAACACCTCTCCAGCAAGGGCGCAGAACTGAACAGAGAATGAGATAGACGCATTGACAGAAGTAGGCTTCAGAAGGTGGATAATAACAAACTTCACTGCGGTAAAGGAGCATGTTCTAACCCAATGCAAAGAAGCTAAGAACCTTGATAAAAGGTTAGAGGAGCTGCTAACTAGAATAACCAGTTTAGAGAGGAACATCAATGACCTGATGGAGCTGAAAAACGCAGCACGAGAACTTTGTGAAGCATGCACAAGTATCAATATTCGAATCAATCAAGCAGAAAAAATAATATCAGAGATGGAAAACTATCTTGCTGAAACAAGGCAGGCAGAGAAGATTAGAGAAAAAAGAATGAAAAGTAACAAACAAAACCTCCTAGAAATATGGGACTATGTAAAAAGACCGAACCTATGACTAATAGGAGTACCTGAAAGAGACAGGGAGAATGGAACCAAGTTGGAAAACACACTTCAAGATATTATCCAGGAAAACTTCCCCAACCTAGCAAGACAGGCCAACATTCAAATTCAGGAAATACAGAGAACCCCACTAAGATACTCCACGAGGAGATCAATCCCAAGACACATAATCATCAGATTCTACAAGATCAAAACGAAGGAAAATATGTTAAGGGAAGCCAGACAGAAAGGCCTGGTCACAAACGGGAGCCCATCAGACTAACAGTGTCTGTGTCTCAGCAGAAACCCTACAGGCCAGAAGAGAGTGGAGGCCAATATTCAACATTCTTAAAGAAAAGGATTTTCAAACCAGAATTTCATATCTGGCCAAACTAAGCTTCATAAGCAAAGGAGAAATAAAATCCTTTTCCGACAAGCAAATGCTGATGAAATGCGTTACCACCAGGCCTGCCTTGCAAGAGCTCCTGAAGGAAGCACTAAATATGGAAAGGAAAAACTGGTACCAGCTGTTGCAAAACACAAAAAAATAAAAAGACCAATGACACTATGAAGAAACACCATCAACTAGTGTGCAAAATAACCAGCTAGCATCATCATGACAGGATCAAATTCACACATAACAATATTAACCTTAAATGTAAAAGGGCTAAATGCCCCCCAGTTAAAAGACACAGACTGGCAAATTGAATAAAGAGTCAAGATCCATCAATGTGCTATATTCAAAAGACCCATCTCACGTGCAAAGGCACACATAGGCTCAAAATAAAGGGATGGAGGAAATTTTACCAAGCAAATAGAAAGCAGAAAAAAGCAGGGGTTGCCATCCTACTCTCTGACAAAACAGACTTAAAACCAACAAAGATCAAAAAAGGCAAAGAAGAGCAATACATAATGCTAAAGGGACCAATTCAACAACAAGAGCTAACTATACTAAATATATATGCACCCTACACAGGAGACCCAGATTAATAAAACAAATTCTTAGAGACCTACAAAGAGACTTAGACTCCCACACAATAATAGTGGAGACTTTAACTCGTACTGTCAATATTAGACAGATCAATGAGACAGAAAATTAGCCCATATTACCTGAATACCTTAACAAGGATATTCAGGACTTGAACTTAGCTCTGGATAAAGTGGACCTAATAGATATGTACAGAACTCTCCAACCCAAAACAACAGAATATACATTTTTCTCAGTATCACATGGAACTTACTCTAAAATTAACTACATAATCAGAAGTAAAACACTCCTCAGCAAATGCAAAAAAACTGAAATCGTAACAAACAGTCTCTCAGATCACAGTGCAATCAATTTAGAACTCAGGATTAAGAAATTCACTCAAAACCACACAGCTGCATGGAAGTTGAACAACTTGCTCCTGAATGACTCCTGGGCAAATAATGAAATTAAGGCAGAAATCAACAAGTTCATTAAAACCAATGAGAGCAAACAGACAATGTACCAGAATCTCTGGGACGCAGCTAAAGCAGTATTAAGAGGGAAATTTATAGCACTAAATGCCCACATCAGAAAGCTAGAAATATCTCAAATTGACACTCTAAAATCACAATTAAAAGAACTAGAGAAGCAAGAGCAAACAAATCCAAAGCTAGTGTAATGCAAGAAGTAAGTAAGATCAGAGCAGAACTGAAGCAAATAGGGGCACAAAAAACCCTTCAAAAGTATCAATGAATCCAGAAACTGGTTTTTTTTCTTCTTAAAATTCTTAATAAAATAGACTACTAGCTAGAATAATGAAAAAGAAAAGAGAGAAGAATAAAATAGACACAATAAAAAAATGATGAAGGGGATATCACCACTGACCCCACAGAAATAGAAACTACCGTCAGAGAATATTGTAAACACTCCTATGGAAATAAACTAGAAAATCTAGAAGAAATGGATAAATACCTGTACATATACACCCTCCCAAGACTAAACCAGGAAGAAGTCGAATCCCTGAATAGACCAATAACAAGTTCTGAAACTAAGACAGTAGCCTACCAACCGAAATAGCCTACCAACCAAAAAAAGCCCAGGACCAGACGGATTCACAGCCGAATTCTATCGGAAGTACAAAGAGGAGCTGGTGCCATTCCTTCAGAAACTATACTAAACAACTGAAAATAGAGACTCATCCCTACCTCATTTTATGAGGCCAGCATCATCCTGATACCAAAACCTGGCAGAGGCACAATAACAAAAAAAAAAAACTTTAGGCCAATATCCCTGATGAACATCAATACGAAAATCAATAAAATACTGGCAAACTGAATCCAATAGCATATCAAAAAGCTTATCCACCACAATCAAGTCGTCTTCATCCCTGGGAGGCAAGGCTGGTTCAACATATAAAAATCAATAAACATTATCACACAAACAGAACCAATGACAAAAACCACCTGATTATCTAAATAGATTCAGAAAAGGCCTTCTATAAAATTCAATATCCCTTCATGCTAAAAAGTCTCAATAAACTAGGCATCCATGGAAGATACCTCAAAATAGCAAGAGCTATTTATGACAGACCCACAGCCAATATCATACTGAATGGGCAAAAGCAGGAAGCATTCCCTTTGAAAACTGGCACAAGACAAGGATTCCCTCTCTTACCACTCCTATTCAACAAAGTATTGGACGTTCTGGCCAGGGCAATCAGGCAAGAGAAAGAAATAAAAGGTATTCAAATAGGAAGAGAGGAAGTCAAATTGTCTCTGTTTACAGACGACAGGATCCTATATTTAGAAAACCCCATCATCTCAGCCCAAAATCTCCATAAGCTGATAAGCAACTTCAGCAAAGTCTCAGGGTACAAAATCAATGTGCAAAAATCACAAGCATTCCTATTTACCAACAGTAGATAAGCAGAGAGCTAAATCATGAAAGAACTCCATCCACAATTGCTACAAAGAGAATAAAATACCTAGGAATACAGCTAACAAGGGACGTGAAGGACCTCTTCAAGGAGACCTACAAACCACTGCTCAAGGAAATCAGAGAGGACACAGACAAATGGAACAACATTCCATCCTCAGGGATAGGAAAAATCAGTATGGTGAAAATGGCTATACTGGCCAAAGTAATTATAGATACAATGCTATTCCCATCAAACTACCATTGACATTCTTCACAGAATTAGAAAAAAACTACTTTAAAATTCATATGGAACAAAAAAGAGCCTGCGTAGCCAAGACAATCCTAAGCAAAAAGAACAAAACTGGAGGCATCACGCTACCTGACTTCACACTATACTACAAGGCTACACTAACCAAAACAGCATAGTGCTGGTACCAAAGAAGACATATAGACCAATGGAACAGAATAGAGACCTCAGAAATAAGACCACACATCTACAACCATCTGATCTTCAACAAACCGGACAAAAGCAAGCAATGGGGAAAGAATTCCCTATTTAATAAACGGTGCTGGGAAAACTGACTGGCCATATGCAGACAACTGAAACTGGATCCCTTCCTTACACCTTATACAAAAATTAACTCAAGGTAGATTAAAGACTTGAATGTAAGACCCAAAACCATAAAAACCCTAGAAGAAAACCTAGACAATACCATTCAGGACATAGGCATGGGCAAAGATTTTACCATGAAATCACCAAAAACAATTGCTAAAATTAACAAATGGGATCTAATCAAACTAAAGAGCTTCTGCACAGCAAAAGAAACTATCATCAGAGCGAACACACAACCTACAGAATGGGAGAAAATTTTTGCAATCTATCCATCTGACAAAAGTCTAATATCGACAAGAAACTTAAACAAATTTACAAGAAAAAAACAGACAACCCCATCAAAAAGTGGGCAAAGGATATAAGCAGACACTTCTCAAAAGGAGACATTTATGCAGCCAACAAACATATGAAAAGAAGCTCATCATCACTGGTCATTACAGAAATGCAAATCAAAACCACAATGAGATATCATCTCACAGCAGTCAGAATGGCAATTATTAAAAAGTCAGAAAACAACAGATGCTGGAGAGGATGTGGAGAAATAGGAATGTTTTTACATTGTTAGTGGCAATGTAAATTAGTTCAACCATTGTGAGAAACTGTATGGTGATTCCTCAAGGATCTAGAACCAGAAATATCATTTGACCCAGTAATCCCATTACTTGGTATATACCCAAAGGAACATAAATTATTCTATTATAAAGATACATGCACGCTTATATTTATTGCAGCACTATTCACAATCGCAAAGACATGGAACCAACCCAAATGCCCATCAGTGATAGACTGGATTAAGAAAATGTGGCACATATACACCATGGAATACTATGCAGCCACAAAAAGGAATGAGTTCATGTCCTTTGCAGGGACATGGATGAAGCTGGAAGCCATCATCCTCAGCAAACTAACAGAGGAACAGAAAACCAAACACTGCCTATTCTCACTCATAAGTGGGAGTGGAACAATGAGAACACATGAACACAGGGGAGGGAACAACACACACCAAGGCCTGTCAGGGGTGGGAGGTGGCCACGAGGGAAGGGAAAGCATCAGGACAAATAGCTAATGCAAGCAGGGCTTAAAACCTAGTTAACAGGTTGATAGGTGCATCAAACCACCATGGCACATGTATACCTATGTAACAAACCTGCAGGTTCTGCACATGTATCCCAGAACTGAAAGTTAAAATAATAATAATAATAATACCACAAGCAAGTCTCAATGTAACATCAATAAAAAACTCACAATATCAATGTTGTAAGACAGTGGAACAAAACAGGAATTCATATGTTGTTCTTAGAGACATAAATTGTTACATCCACTTTGGGAAACTATTTGGTGTTATCCAATAAAGTCGAATATATGCATACCCTGTATATCATTCCTACACATATAGCTAACAAATTTTACATTGGAAAATATAAGAATGTCCACAGTGGCTTTTTCTTTAAGAGCTAAAATTAGCAAGGTAATGTAGAAAATGGTAAATGGATGAATAGCACATTCATACAATGGAATATACTTTACGCAATGGAAATGAACAAATATCAACTAGGTGCTACAATATAGACGAATCTCACAAACATAATATTGAGCAGAAGATTCCAGAAGCATTCCGACAGAGGTGCAGCCGATGGTGGTGCTGCTAGCAAGAAACAGGGAGGGTGGCCACTATGCCCTGCCCCAAGATGCTGCAAGGCTTGCACCCAGGACAGGAACCCTCCCTTGTCAGGGGCAGAGAGCAAGATGGATCTCAGGCAGGCACACTCCAAGAGGCTCTGCTGCCAGGACAACAGAGGGCTGGAGAGTAGACAGTTGAGTTCTGATTCCAGAGTGGCAGCAGGGAGTGAGCCTCAGCATGAGTCCAGACTCCAAACCCCAGTGCATGCTCAATTGTCCCATCAGACTTCACTTACAAAACACAAATTCTAGGAGAGAATTATTAGGAATTTTGAGATTGCAAACACACAAGCACAGGGCCCTTTTGAACATGTGTCCCTATGTGACTGCACTAGCCACATACCCATGAGGCCTGTCCTGCTTCAAATACAAAAGAATACATACTGGGTAACATATAAAAACATATATAGTTTTTAAAATTGGGTGGGGACCAGTTCTCCTTGGAGAAATGGCTGATTCTATGTCTCAGACATGGAAAGTACAAAGTGAAAACATGGGCCAGTGGGTGTCAGAAAGCAAGGAAGTATTCAAAAACTGCTAGGAATCTATCAAATGGATAGAAGAGCCAGTTTAAAGGTGCTCCCACTGGCCACATTTGGGATGACTTGGGCACCAGAATTAGTAACTGTAATTTGTTGCATTGCATTGAATAAATAAAAATTCCTGAAAATATCATCATGCTTATAAAGAAAATGCAAGAGGGCAAATAGGGAAGGAAAGAAAGGACGGTGAGAGGGAAGGCAGAAAGAAGGAAAAGACACTCACTTGCTATCATTGCAGGCAATAATTATTCAACTCCTTAACTTGAAAACTGGTGATTGAAGGGAAAAGAAGTAAGCATTTACCTCACATGTTAAAATTAAACTATAACTCACTGCCAGTTGATGGTTTAAAATGTTATTACAGAAAAAAAGGGATGTATTAAAAGTAGAAGAAATGATCCTTTTAAAATGAAATGTAATTTTAAAAAATAATTCAGTAAAAGATTATCAGTGGGTGCTAAAACCATCAGAAGGAAAGTTGATGGAATGGGATATTCACATTTTATGGACGTCTCACTCTTAGGATTGTCCGCTGTGAAAGGGAAAATTTACCTTTGCAATAGAGAAATCTTGTAGTTACCACCTTAACTAAGTAATCAAACCTAGTATCACTAATAGTGTCACTTTACATCTCCTGATGCAATACAGGATCTTGTGAAAATCTCTTTGCCAAAAATGATTGATTGAATCTATTTGAGCCTTTAGACCTATTCTACAGTTTATAGGAAATACAGGGGTAAAGAAACCAATTAAAGGACACCACGAGAAGCAAACAAACAAACTCAAAATGCAGACATTCCACTAAATAACTGGTCTTGTCTTCTAAATAATTAAATGTGAAAAATAAAATTGTGGGACGGCTATTTTAGACTAATGGGACATAACCCAAAATTTTTACTCACGACATTTACTGTTAGTTAATACATGAGAATTGTTGTGAAATTTCTAGGTGCAACAATTGTATTATACCTATGTGACAGAATGTCCTTATTTTTAGGAGATGTATCTGCACTGTTTTGGAGGACAATTTTCTCAGAAATGATTCTGCAGACAGACTAAAATGTTAACGACTGTGGAGTCTCAATGGAAGGCATGCAAATGTTAACTCTATTAATATTTCAACTTTTCTGTATGTTGGAAAAATTTTTAATGGTGTCAAAGTCTTATTGTAACTTACAAACTTTCTCTTTAACAGCTAAAACTTTCCTTTGAACAAAATCTTCCAAAGCCTTGTGGAAAATAAAGCAGACACCACCAGAACTGTTCTGATTGAAGCAGGTTAATGGTGCATCGCTATCAGCAACCCCCTCACCCCTCAAAGGCATGCCTGAAGCCTTCAGAGAAACTCAGTTTTAAACCACTGGCTTAGTAAATTATTCCCCATAGTGACAAGAAGGGCTGGAGGGCAGCAGAGCACCAAGTACCTAAAGAAAAAAGTGTGCACAGAGAAAAGGGCATAAAAAAGAAAGATGACAGAGAAATTAAGATACATTTCACATTCCCATTAAGGCCAATTTTCTCCTATGGCATTTTGGGATACTTAGGTAAATTTTCTCTGACAGCAAATACAGTCAGAGACCCAAAACCTAGGGAGAAAGAAGCATTGTCCTTAATAGAGTGTTCATCATGAAACATAGAGCCAAAGTGCCCATCTATTCTAAACCGCTCATAAACAGATAAAGAAATCAAAGTTTCATGTGGTCTTTTTTTAAAAATAAAAGATATGGAGTTTAAAATCCAATTTAATTGCACTTTAATTACTAAAAAGTTTTAGCCTTGGTGAAGTTTCCTGGGTAAAACAGGCCAGATAAGGCAGGTTTTTATTTACTTCCTGTTTGAAATGCATTTCACTTTTAGAAAATAGCCTACTAAATGTATGCATGTTTTAATTATGTGCTGTTTAAAGCACAATTAGGTAGTATAAATTTTAATTAGGTACTGAGCATTTATTTTTATTCTTTGTATGTTGTTTTATATGTGCAGGTGCTTATGATTTTAAAGACCTGACTCTTCCTTAATTAGTTCCCACCCATTCTGGTCTTTTTCTAAAATAACAAACCACATAATTTATTGTGTACATCTAAATATGTACAATTTCCTAAGAGACAAAGATTTTCTAAGGAAATAAATTTGTGAACTTAAGAAAATAACATTTTTTTCTAGGTTTCTTACATGTGAGTAGATGCTTGGATTAAAGTTTCATAGATCTTTGCCATTGTTATGAATGTCTAAGAATTATTTAAATTTAGAAAATAAAGAATGGAGTTCTTTGAGAGCATGTTGTAAAAATAATGTCTACAGTCTTGATATTTAGTAAGATACGTTTTTAAAGAACTATTTTTTCTTAGTATCAGCATGCTTTCTAAATTGAATCATAGATCTTAAGGCAAATAATCAAGGTCTTCTTATCTAGAAAGCAAAAAGTATTGTCTCTATTGGCAATCCAAATCTAGCCATTGTTACCAATCAGCCTTGGGAGAGGTCAATAAAGGGAGGGAAGATAACTAACACATACTGAGTGACAACCGTGTACAAGGTTGTCTCACTTAATTCTCATGACAATTCTACAAGGTAGATAGCATTTTCCCCTTTAGAAAGTGTTTGGACTAGGATTAAAATATACGTAAGACCTGCCTGACTGACTCAAAAACCCATGATTTTGACAAAATATCAATTATTATTAGAAGTTAAAATTTAAAAGGGAAAATGAAAATAAACCACATCTACAGGAAACTGCGTATTTGGGTGCATATAGTGTGAAGCAAACAGTTTTTATTGCTGGTGAGAAATCATAATGAGACAACTTACAGCATCAAAACAGATGTTTTTCAGCCTGCCTTAAGAATTGAAGAGACCAGACACTGTGAAACTACAGAAACATTCTCTCATTCTCTCAAGCTATAGGAGAAACATTAAATGGTGATCTTCTTTTCATTCACTTTTTCAGAAATAGAAAGTCATTAAGTCAAAAATAAACATATTTCTATACCTAGGAGTATCTAGAATTATGTCAATAACTAAAGGAAAATTAATTATGTCACCATCTCCAACACTGCCATTGACCTTCCCCACTCACCAAAAAAAAAAAAAAAAATGCATCAAGACTTTCCACTTTGTGCGGTAGTACCAGCACTAACCCAGAAATTCATTTTTTAGGTTGATCTTTGCCCAGTATGTCACATCACACTTCCATGAATAGCACTATTGATTTTAATAGTAGATATAATTTTGAAGACCAAAAATTGGGCCCAAGAACAATACCAACATAGTTGTCTTCTATCAAAAAGCCAGAGTTACATAGTATGTATTTTGAAATCTGTAAAATTTGGATATTGTTACCTCATAGATCTAGCATTAGGATTTGTCATAAATTTGTTCGTATGGTTGCTACCTCAGCATCCATTTTTGGACCAACGTAGTTATTTTAAAACCAATAGTACCCTATCACCTTTGGCCTTGTTAAAATTTCCCCTTCCTGAACATCACACACCAGGGCCTGTTGTGGGGTGGGGGGAGGGGGGAGGGATAGCATTAGGAGATATACCTAATGTAAATGACGAGTTAATGGGTGCAGCACACCAACATGGCACATGTATACATATGTAACAAACCTGCACGTTGTGCACATGTACCCTAGAACTTAAAGTATTGTTTTAAAAAATTTAAAAAAAAAAAAAACTTCCCCTTCCTGTGTGGCTGTTTGTGACACAGCCCCCTATCGGGGAACCTGCCCCGATATTCACGTAGGTTCTTTTCTATTTTGCTTAAGCATCGGCCGGCTTGAGAAATAAAGGGACAGAGTATAAAAGAGAGAAATTTTAAAGCTGGGCGTCCAGGGAAGACATCACATGTCGGTAGGTTCCATGATGCCCCATAAACCGCAAAAACCAGCAAGTTTTTATTAGGGATTTTCAAAAGGGGACGGAGTGTGCAAATAGGTGTGGGTCAGAGACATCAAGTACTTTACAAGGTAATAAAATATCACAAGGCAAATGGAGGCAGGGTGAGATCACAGGACCACAGGACCGGGGCAAAATTAAAATTGCTAATGAAGTTTTGGGCACCATTGTCATTGATAACATCTTATCAGGAGACAGGGTTTTGAGAGTAACTGGTCTGACCAAAAATTTATTAGACAGGAATTTCCTCCTCCTAATAAGCCTGGGAGCGCTATGGGAGACTGGGGTCTATTTCACCCCTACAGCCTCATCCGTAAGAGACGGGGACACCAAGGGGGGCCGTTTATAGGCCTATACCCCCAGGCACGTATTCTCTTTCCCAGGGATGTTCCTTGCTGAGAAAAAGAATTCAGTGATACTTCTCCCATTTGCTTCCGAAAGAAGAGAAATACGGCTCTGTTCCACCTGGCTCACTGGCAGTCAGAGTTTAAGGTTATCTCTCTTATTCCCTGAACAATTGCTGTTATCCCGTTCTTTTTTTCAAGGTGCCCAGATTTCATATTGTTCAAACACACATGCTCTACAATTTGTGCAGTTAATGCAATTATCACATGGTCCTGAGGCCACATACATCTTCCTCAGCTGACAGGATTAAGAGATTAAAGTAAAGACAGGCATAGGAAATCACAAGGGTATTGACTGGGGAAGTGGTAAGTGTCCATGAAATCTTCACAATTTATGTTTGGAGACTGCAGGAAAGACAGGCATAAGAAATTATAAAAGTATTAATTTGGGGAACTAATAAATGTCCATGAAATCTTTACAATCCACATTCTTCTGCCATGGCTTCAGCTGGTCCCTCCGTTTGGGGTCCCTGACTTCCCACAACAGCCCCCTTGTTCCTCATCCCAGTGACCCAAAACCCAGCATGCCCACAGCTACTGACCATTAAAAAGCCTGATGGTCAACACCAGAGTCACATAAATCAGTTTCTCGCTTTGCATATGTTTTCTTTAAACTAGCCAACCCGCAACTCCAGAAGGAGAGCCTAGGGGATAATGCCCACAGATCTTAATAAAAGCAGAGTCTCACAGGTTTTTTTTCTCTCTTTCCCCTCTTTCACCACCCCCCGCCCCTCCCTGCGGGCTGACCATCCTGCTGTCTCTGGACTTCGCTCATGGGCAATCCTATTCTCTCACAGATCTGTCAATAACGTGCTGCTTCTGCCATTTCATGTGTTTTGTTGTACTGTCTCCCCTGTGACCTGACCTATACACCCCAACCTCACTCCCCTGGTCAGAGCTCTTCCTACAGAGTGGCTACTTGGATGGGAACAAACTGGACCTAGGTCAAACATGAACTACAAGGCATCTTTCAATATAAACAGGCTTCCTGGGAGAGAGACACCTGATCTTGCATCTGACAGACATTAGGCCATCTTCCAGGATAAAGACAGACCCCCATGAAAAGCACACTGTAAACATCTATGACCACCTCCTCTGAACTTCCACCAGGGCAGAGCTAGAATTTATAGCCACTCTCCAGAGAGAGACCTCAAGACCAAATTAGAGGAAAATCACAACAACAAAAGTCACAACAGAATTAAATAAGAATAAACACATGAAAGCTATTTTAGTGCCCAATATACAAGAGGTAATTCTAATGGGTAGAATAGTGGTCCCCTAAATGATAGGACCACACCCTAATTCCTGGAATCTTTTAATGTTACCTTATTTGAAAAAAAAAAAGTTATTTGCCGATTTAAGTTGAGGATCTTGAGATAAAGAGATCACCCAGGATTACCTGGTTGGGACCTAAATTCAATGAGAAGTGTCCTTATAAGGGATAGGAAAGATTAATATAAGAGGAAGAAGCATTATGAAGATGGAGACAAATATTGGTGGAGTAATGTAGCCACAAGCCAAGGACACCAAGGAACACCTGGAGCCATCAGAAGCTGGAAGAAGCAAGGAAGAAATCTACCCTAGAGTTTCCAAAAGGACTATGGTCATGCCAATGACACTTTCATTTCAGATATCTGGCCTCCAGAAC
Source organism: Homo sapiens (assembly GCF_000001405.40). NCBI lineage: Eukaryota > Metazoa > Chordata > Mammalia > Primates > Hominidae > Homo > Homo sapiens. The sequence continues at coordinate 17,458,705 of NC_000002.12, forward strand.
TGTATGAGAATAGATTTATATTATTTTAAGCCACCTAGTTTGTGGTAATTTGTGGTGTCAGCCCCAGGACTCTAACACAGTTCTCACATGGTAGTTATTAGTGTTCTCTGGCTACCATTAGTAATTAGATTAAAGTCACTGCTGTGCCTTCTTGTTGGTTTAATTCAATGGTTCTCAAACTTCAATGCACATTAAAATCAACTGGGAAGCTCTTAGAACATAGATGCCCAGATCACATCTCCTGAGTTTCTAGTTAAATTGTTAGGGGTTAGGGGAATGGATGTGGGTCTTAGTAGTCTTCTGAAACTCCCAGGTAAAGATGACATGGAGCAAATACTGAGACCCACTGTTAACAATGATTATTCAGAATCTGTCTCCCTCTTGAGCTCTATCAGGAGAGGGACCATGTCTGAATTGTTTCTACCTAACACAGTGCCTGACATTTAGTAATGTATTGGTTGAATAAATAAATAAGTGTCTAATCCTCTAATATATATTTATTCCCATGTAAAAAATGAATGAAACACAACTCTTCCCCTCAAGCAGTTCACAGCGGTGGGAAGAGGAAGAGGAAGGAACATTGGGTTAGAAAAGAGAGACTATCTAAGAATAAAAGCAATTATATCAGGTAGAATTACATTCAGCTGCAAATAATAGAAACCCTAAAATAACAATGCCTTAAACAAATAGAAGTTTATCTCACATGTAAAAGAAATCCAAAGCAATCTATTAGTAGATTAAAATTGGTGAGATATTTTTAAACCTATCAGAGACCTTAGCTTCTCTCTTATTCCTCTTCCCTTCTAGCACACAGCTTCTAATTCATAGCCCAGTACAGTTGCCTGAGCTCCAGAGATGACAAGCACATTGCAGCCAGCCAGCAACAAGGGATAAAGACAGACAATCACTATCTCATTAAGTACTTACTTCCCAGTGCACATGACACTTCCACTTATATCCCAGTGACCAGAACTTAGTCCTATGGCTATCTATCAGAAAGGCTGAGAATATTGTTTGTGCATAGCTAAAAGTTGGAAGTTCTATATACTATCAAAGAAAAGAGAACTTGGATATTTAGGGGGATAAATTATTATCTCTGCCATAATATTAACTCTAGTAGAACAAACTTAGATACTAGGCTATAATAAAGGTCTAAAGAGCTTTGGAAGTATAGGGAAGAGAACTAAAATACAACTGGAAGCATCAAGGAAGGCTTCATTGAAAAGGTATCATGTGAGCCAGGACACGAAAGATAAATAGAACAATAACTAATACAAAAGATGCTTCAGGTAGAAGGCAAGAAGGAGAGCATTCCAGTGTGGAAAAAGAACAAGAGTTTTAAATCACAGAGACCAAGTTTGAATTACTAGCCTCACTACTTAATAAATGAGTTGTGGGAAGTCGTGAGGTTTGAATAAGAATATAAAATGCAATTTGCAAATAATAAATTTGAAAAAATATCTATAATAAAGATGAAACAGAAGCCTCAGATGAATGATGGAGAGATCTAATTGTCATACTAAGAACTTTGGATTTATTTTGTAATAGTGAGGTAATGGAGCACATTAATTGAGCTCATAATATTCCATCTTTATGGAAAGTACAGTTGATAATTTTGATAATAAACTTTGGTGCTTTTAATAATAAAAAAACTGTTTGCTACAGTCAGAAAATCTACATACCACCTTGGAATTCTTTCACAGCATTTTATTCCTCCTTACAGCTTTCAAACCATCTAGTAGACACATGCAGAAAAATCTGTTTGAAAATGACAAGTAAAAGATGTTTTATAAACTCCAGATGGAATTTGGTCTTTACTCAGATCAAATAGAAAAAGGCATCCAGACACCAGGGTAGATACAGAGCAAGCCAATTCTAACTTAGTGAAATAAAGTTTACTGTGTTTTTCTAACTGAACTTTAGTCCAGAAGCATAGCAGTTATGCTACTGTGGGGAGGGGGAAGGAAAAGTGGAGGGAACAGTGGAAAGTTACCATTATTTATTGAGAACCACAAGGAACCAGAGATAGTACTAAATATTTAAATTCCATGTCTCATTTAAACCCAGCAACCTTATGATTTGAATGTAACTGAGGTTCAGTAAGGCCCAAGTTACTGCATAACCAATGTCATCTAGTCATTGGATAACCAAGATTTAGTCATTGGTGACCAAGATTCAAAACCCAAAGCCTGTCTTATTCAAAAGTACTTGCTTCTTCCACACAGGTGATATGTACTTTCCTGCTCAGCCATTCAATGACTCATTCACTCTTAATTCTTTACTTCCAACTTATTTCCTCCAACTTTTAATCAAAACCTACCTCTATTATTCTATTTACCCAGATGTTTCTAATTTCAATATTCACTAATTTTCTTCTCCATTTCTGAATTATCCTACTTCCTGATTTATAATATAACATATAAACATTTCAAATTTTAAGAAAAAAAATCACCAATAAAGTTAACATGTACCACCTATCCTGCCTTTGAAAGCTTCCTGGTCTTTGCTGCCTTTGCATAAACATCTGCTAATGGATTTTAAATTTCCTTTTTTCTCTTTGCTGCAGGTGCTTATTTACGCATCAGTGGTGGACTAAAATATATGACAACTCTATTTGCTCAAGAGGGAAATTCAGATCAACTGTAGGCACTAGGCCAATTGTATACCACCTAATACAAATTTCATGTATTCAAAAAAATACTTACAAGATGACTACTGTGAGTTGGAAACATACAGTACTTATCACAAGTTGTCACTTCTGTTCCCCATGATCCCAGTCCATCTTCCCAGCATTTGCTTTCCCCACTCCTCCATCAAAGGCAATTGCAATTAACACTATTAAACACACTCCAGGTTTTTCCACTTCTGGGATTTTATTTATTCCTTTCTTCCTACCCCAAAAGCCATCTCATACCTCACCTTATAGGAATCTTATAAAGTTGTTTCAGCTCAAGGGTCATCACCTCCAGGATACCTTTCTGATGACCATAGCTGGACATGTTTCCTCTTTCTTTCCAATTGCCATATCATTGTATTTCTTTTTCCAATAACTTTTAATAATATTCTATTGTGTAATTATAAACAGGTACAGAAAATCACATAAACCAAATGTTTGGTGTAATGAATTATTTTAAGATGGATATCATCCAAGCCATGAATTAGAAACTCCTATCATGTTCTCATTCAAATCCCAACCAACTTTCTTCTGCCATAAATTAACATTATTCTAATCGAGTCACTTTTCATATTCTATTTCATATTACTGGTTTGAATTTACATGTGTCTTCCCTGTTCAAATGTAAGAATTTTCAGAGTCTTCTTACCAATTAATCTTTGCTGTTCTTCAACTGTGTAGCAGTTGCAGATTCTGCTAAATGCTATGAAAGAAATAAATATGGTGATGTATTAGGCAGTAACTGTGATAGCATGGGGAGAGGGGAAGATGGGGAAAAAGTTGACTACTTTAGGAAAGTGTCCAAGGAAGAATGCTCTGAAGAAGTGACATTTCAACTGAATCCTGAAAGAGGATTTGCCATTTAATAATGTGTATCTCCCTCAAGTGTTCAAAATCTTCTACGTGGCCCTTAAGACTCATCTTAGCCTTAAATCTTATCTTTTACTGCTCCTCTAACTAAATCCTCTCTTCTAGCCAGTCTGGTCTACTTACACTTTTCCTCTGCCAAAAATATACTCTTCCCATCTTTTCACTCATCAGAATTCTACATCAAAGCCCATATCAAATGCCAGTCCCTCTGTGAGGGCATAATTGATTATTCCAATCTGGGATTAGTTCCCTTCCTCGGAACTCTCTCCTGAAAGTTTTTTTAATCTGTATAAATCAATTGGCACTTAACAATTTCTACCTTGTATTATCACTATATTTTCACATTTATGTGTTTTATCTTCCCAAATAAGGGAAAAGAGAGGAATAAATCTTGACTGTATCTGCCACTGAGCATAGCAGAGTGCTAAATATGCATACATAGAGATAGTCACCATATGTTTGACTTACCCTCTTGATCATTCATAGGAAACCAGAGAGAAGAAACTATTGTCTCTGGTTTCTTATAAAATGAATTATTTTAAAAAATAAGGTAAATGCATGAATCCTGCACTCTTCCACAAATTCAGACACATACTCATTTTACTGCATTTTAAGCAATAATTTATAATTTTTTTGAGTATTAAAGAAGCTAGCTGTAATGAGTTAGATGATCTTCTTCAGCCCTTTTGCACTGTCATCAAAGCTGTAATGGAGCTTGAACTGTATCAGGCTCAATGTGCCTTTGGATATGATTCAAAATCAAGCTTAATGATCTCTGCCTATCTAAACAATCTTGTGTCCTCACTAATCCCAACTTCTGCCTTCACTGCCCATCCAAATTCACAAACCAAAAGAGTTGAATCATCTGTCCTGTGGCCATCTCAAGTACCTCTATCTAACTGACTTTGCTGCACAGTTCAACAAAAGGCACTTTTCTGAAAAGATATTTTCTATGAATCCAGAACAAAGTAAATATTAAGAATCAGGTAATGACGTGCCTTTTTAGCTGGAATTAAAAGCACTCCAAAAGATGATCCACAGGCACTGAATATTTAGGAAATGAATGCTCATGTGTTTAAGTTATAACATCTAGATAATCCCCCTTGAATATAGTAATGCAATGTTTTCAATTTGACTCTGTAGATTATATAAAATTAAGCACTAGTCAGTCTTTTCATAAATAAACTTTGAATAATTGTATCTACTTTCATTGAGCCTGCTTTAGCAAATAATGTAAGTTTAAAAGATTACATGTGTGGTTAAGATGATTCAAGAAAAAGAAAAAATTCTCAAACCATAAAGCATATTATTTAATTTTTAAGCTAAAGATATTTACAGGATAATAAAGAATAAAGAAATATAAACCAAGATTGACCGAAAAGGGTAAAAAGATACTCCAACTTTGCCACTTGAGATGAAAGGAAGGGATCTAAAGGTCCAATTAATCCTTGATCCTGCTAAAATAAAAATACTACTAACAATTTACTACTACTACTTTTTCTACTACTACCAACAATTAATAATTATACTATCATTTATAGTTCTGTCCCTGGTATTTTACACAAATTATCTTGTTTAATTTTATCTTCACTGTTGCTGGTTGATTCATAATTGTCTAGAAAAGACATGCAGCTAATGTTTGAACTTAAGTAGATTCTAAAAGCTATATACTTTCTCTACATTGCTGCCTCTGTTGAATAAGGAAAGAGAATGAAGGGAGGGAAGGAATAGGTAGCTTAGAGGGGCTTTGAGCAAGAATGACTCCAACCACTGGAGGTAGAAACCAGTATTGCTCTATGAAGTTTGTCGAGAGCCCTTATGTCAAGTGTCAAAGTCTGAGAAAGGCAGTGCATATTTGGTTGGGCACCCTGACTTCCCACCTCCTGGCTGGAAAAGGTCACGTGGATCAGATTATTCTATGAAGTATCATAGGGCAGGCCCAAAATGAACACCTAGCAGAAAAGGTGAGGGAAGCTCAAAGAGGTCAGTTTAGAGCCTAGACTCTAGGTTGAATCCTCAAAGACAGTTTGGGTGACTTGTATAAGATTTCAAAGTGAATAAATGGAAGGCAGAAAAACTGATCCAGCACAGCAGAATGGAGGCAAGGGTAGCAGAACCCTTGAGAAGATCTCTTTCTATAGTTATTTAGAACCTTGTGCAAATCATATTAAAATTTTGCTCTAATTTAAATATTTTCAAAGCACATAATTCTAGAGTTTTCTCCTCTAATTTTTTCAATATCTCACAATTTTTATTATCATCTTCTTCAGCCAGGGCCTGATTCTGAACAGATCAATTTTTATTTTATTAGGAATATTTTTATTGATTTTATTTTTGTAAAAGTAATGAATGTTTGAGCAGTGGTTCATAGTTCTCCTTGAAGAGGTCCTTCACATCCCTTGTAGGTTGGATTCCTAGGTATTTTATTCTCTTTGTAGCAATTGTGAATGGGAGTTCACTTATGATTTGGTTCTCTGTTTGTCTGTTATTGGTGTATAGGAATGGTTGTGTTTTTTGCACATTGATTTTTTATCATGAGACTTTGCTGAAGTTGCTTATCAGCTTAAGGAGATTTTGGGCTGAGATGATGGGGTTTTCTAAATATACAATCATGTCATCTGAAAACAGAGACAATTTGACTTCCTCTTTTCTTATTTGAATACCCTTTATTTCTTTCTCTTGCCTGATTGCCCTGGCCAGAACTTCCAATACTATATTGAATAGGAGTGGTGAGAGAGGGCATCCTTGTCTTGTGCCGGTTTTCAAAGGGAATGCTTCCAGCTTTTGCCCATTCAGGATGATATTGGCTGTGGGTTTGTCATAAATAGCTCTTATTATTTTGAGATACATTCCATCAATACCTAGTTTATTCCTAGTTTATTGAGAGTTTTTAGCATGAAGGGGTGTTGAATTTTATCAAAGGCCTTTTCTGCATCTATTGAGATAATTACATGGTTTTTGTCATTGGTTCTGTTTATGTGATGGTTCATGTTTATTCATTTGAGTATGTTGAACCAGCCTTGCATCCCAGGGATGAAACCAACCTGAGTGTGGTGGATAAGCCATGAACCACTGCTCAAGGAAATAAGAGAGGAAACAAACAAATGGAAAAACATTCCATGCTCATGGATAGGAAGAATCAATATCATGAAAATGGACACTGTGCCCAAAGTAATTTATAGATTCAATGCTATCCCCATCAAGCTACCATTGACTTTCTTCACAGAATTAGAAAAAACTACTTTAAATTTCATATGGAACCAAAAGAGAGCCAGTATAGCCAAGACAATCCTAAGCAAAAAGAACAAATCTGGAGGCATCACGCTACCTGACTTCAAACTATACTACAAGGCTACAGTAACAATAACAGCATGGTACTGGTATCAAAACAGATATATAGACCAATGGAACAGATCAGAGGCCTCAGAAATAACACCACACATCTACAACCATCTGATCTTTGACAGCCCGGACAAAAGCAATGGGGAAAGGATTCCCTATTTAATAAATGGTATTGGGAAAACTGGCTAGCCATATGCAGAAAACTGAAACTGGACCCCTTCTTTACACCTTATACAAAAATTAACTCAAGATGGATTAAAGACTTAAACATAAGACCTAAAACCATTAAAACCCTAGAAGAAAACCTAGGCAACACCATTCAGGATATAGGCATGGGCAAAGACTTCATGGCTAAAACACCAAAAGCAATGGCAACAAAAACCAAAATTGACAAATGAAATCTAATTAAACTAAAGAGCTTCTGCACAGCAAAAAAGATTATCATCAGAGCGAACAGGCAACCTACGGAATGGGAGAAAATTTTTGCAATCTATCCATGTGACAAAGGGCTAATATCCAGAATCTACAAGGAACTTAAACAAATTTACAAGAAACAAACAAACAACCCCAACAAAAAGTGGTCAAAGGATATGAACAGACACTTCTCAAAAGAAGACATTTATGCGGCCAACAAATATATGAAAAGAAGCTCATCGTCACTGGTCATTAGAGAAATGCAAATCAAAACCACAGTGAGACACCATCTCACACCAGTTAGAATGGAAATCATTAAAAAGTCAGAAAACAACAGATGCTGGAGAAGACAGGGAGAAGTAGGAACAGTTTACACTGTTGGTGGGAGTGTAAATTAGTTCAACGATTGTCAAAGAAGGTGTGGCAATTCCTCAAGGATCTAGAACCAGAAATACCATTTGTCCCAGCAATCCCATTTCTGGGTATATACCCAAAGGATTATACATCATCCTACTATAAAGACACCTGTAGACGTATGCTTATGGCAGCACTGTTCACAATAGCAAAGACTTGGAACCAACCCAAATGCCCATCAATGGTAGATTGGATTAAGAAAATGTGGAACATATACACAGTGGGATACTGTGCCGCCATGAAAAAGGATGAGTTCCTGTCCTTTGCAGGGACATGGATGAAGCTGGAACCCATCATTCTTAGCAAACTAACAAAAGAACAGGAAACCAAACACTGCATGTTCTCACTCATAAGTGGGAGCTGAACAATGAGAACATATGGACACAGGGAGGAGAACATCACACACCAGGGCCTGTTGGGAGACGGGGGGCTAGGGGAGGGATAGCATTAGGAGAAATACCTAATGTAGATGATGGGTTGATGGGTCCAGCAAACCACCATGGCATGTGTATGCTTATGTAACAAACCTCCACATTCTGCACATGTATCCCAGAACTTAAAGTATAATAAAATTTTTTTAAAAAAGTAATGAATGTACATAATTTTGAAAGGAGAAAATGTATAAATAATCTTCCTGCAAAAAAGCAGTTTCTGCCACTCAATGCTCCCTAGTTTCAAATGCAAACACTTCTAATTACATCATCTGTTTCTTCTAATATTTAGCATCTATATTTCTGAATACAATGATTATACTGCTATTTCTTGATTTATCAATTTTAGAAATTACTTACTTTCAATTGCAGTAGATCATATTTTCACACTTAGAACTGCTTCCTCTACATCTGCTTCCTACCCACCATCCTTAAAATACAATCATATCGAAATTTTGGTTAATTTAGTAGCCAGTCTTTAAATTACTAGTTTTCCTTATTCACTATTGAGCCAAATACTATACTAAGATTTTATTCCCTTGTTTGTATATTACTCTTTCTATACATAGATTTAATAACTGTCAGTTATTTCTCTTGCTTAATATTCTGATTGTTACTCTTGATTATTTTCAAATGTCACATCGTATATGCCATAAACCTACTGTATTATTTTCAAATGCTCATAGTTTCAAAAGCATATAAACTTTTTTTGGATGGGCACGGTGGCTCATGCTTGTAATCACAGCACTTTGGAAGGCCAAGGCAGGTGGATCACTTGCGGTCAGGAGTTCGAGACCATCCTGACCAACATGGTGAAACCCCATTTCTACTAAAAATACAAAAATTAGCTGGGTGTGGTGGCACGTGCCTGTAATCCCAGCTACCCAAGAGGCTGAGGCAGGAGAATCGCTTGAGCCCGGGAGGCAAAGGTTGCAGTGAGCCGAGATCACACCACTGCACTCCAGCCTGGGCCACAGAGTGAGACTCTGTCTCAAAAAAAAAAAAAAAAAAAAAAATAGCATGTCAACTCTTTTTTTTTTTTTCTCTTAACCTCTCTTCAGAGACCTCCTGCTACTCCATGTGATGATTTGTTCTTTAAACCTATGGCAGAGTTGTCCTCTTGGGTCTTCCTTTCCTCTTCATCTTGTATCTTCTTGAAAATCTCATGATGGATTCACTATTTTCTCTATTTCATGATTCCTCTTTTTAAATTTAGCGTCTAACTTCCAGTAGCTTTCTAATAAAAGATGCACGGAGGGAAAATTTTCTGAGTATTTGAAACTTAAATTACTTTTATTTTTACTTTCAGCATTTTTTTAGAATACATTGTTGTTAACTACAGTCACTCTGCCACACAATAGACCTCTTAAATTTACTCTTTCTATCTAACTGAAATTTTGTATCCTTTTACCTTTGTCTCCCCAGCTACCCACAACTCTGCCCCCAGTAACCACCATTCCTGCTTCCTTAAGTTTAACTTTTTAGATTTCACATATATGTGACATTATGCAATATTTGTCTTTCTATGTGTGGCATATCATTACAAATGACAAGATGTCCTTCTAAGACTGAATAGTAGTCCATTGCATATACGTATCAAATTTTCTTTATCCATTATCCATTGATGGACACTAAGATATTGAGTCCATACCTTGGCTATTATGAATAATGCTGCAATAAACATGGGAGTGCAGATACCTTGTTTTCCATAATTGCTGTACTAATTTACATTCTTGCCAACCGTATACAAGGGTTTCCTTTTCTTCACATCCTTGCCAACACTTATCTTTTGCCTTTTGATATTAGCCATTCTAACAGGTGTAAGGTGATACCTTACTGTTGTTTCAATTTGCATTTCCCTAATTATTATTGATGTTGAGCATTTTTTCATATATCTGTTAGGCATTAGTATGTGTTCTTTTGAGACAGGTCTATTCAAATTCAGTTTTTAATCAGGCTATTTTCTGGCTACTGAGATGTTTGAGTTTCTTTTACATTTTAGATACTAACCTCTTTGGTTTACAAATATTTTCCCTCATTCTCTAGGTTGTCACTTCACTCTATTGATTATTTTCCTGGCTGTATGAGCTCTTTTGGGTTGATGTAATCCTGTTTGTGTATTTTCATTTTCATTGTTTGTGCTTTTGGGGTCATATCCAAAAAATTATTGCCAACACCAGTGTTGTGGAGCTTTTCCCCTACGTTTTCTTACAGTGTTTTCACAGTTTCTGGTCTTACATTTAAGTTTTTAATCCATTTTGTGTTGATTTTTTTTATATGGCATGATATAAGGGTCCAATTTTATTCTTCTGCATGTGGATATCCAATTTGCCTACTATCATTTATTGGAGAGACAGTTCTTTCCGCCATTGTATGTTCTTGGTACCTTTTTCAAAAATCAATTGACTTTAAATTTGTGAGTTTATTTATGGTCTCTTTATTCCATTCCATTGGTCTACGTGTCTGTTTTTATAGAAGTACCATGCTGTTTTGACAACTTTGTGGCTTTGTAGCATATTTTGAAATCAGGTAGTCTGATGCCTTCAGTTTTGTTCTTTTTGCTAAAGATTGCTTTGTCTAGTCAGGATCTGCCATAGTTCCATACATATTTTCTATTTCTGTAAAATAATGTCATTGGAATTTTTATATGGATTACATTGAATCTGTAGATTGCTTTGGGTAGTATGAACATTTTAACAACATCAGTTCTTCCAATCTATGGGCATGGGCTATCTTCCCATTTATTTGAGTCTTCTTCAATTTTTTTTCAATGTTTTATAGTTTTCAGTGTACAAATCTTTTACCTCCTTGGTTAAATTTATTCCTTTGTTGTTTCTGTTGTTAATGTTGTTGCTTAGCTATTATGAATGAGATTATTTTCTTGATTTCTTTTTTGGATAATTCACTGTCAGTACATAGAAATGTTACTGATTTTTGTATGTTGATTTTGTATCCTGCAACTTTTTTGAATTAGTTTTAAGCCCTAATAGTTTTTTGGTGGAGTTGTTAGGATTTTCTATATATAAGATCAAGTCGTCTGAAAACAGGAGCAATATTTCTTCCTTTACAATTTGCACATTAGTAGGGTTTTTTCAAATTAAAGACTTCTCCTTAGCATTTCTTGTAAGATGGATCTGGTGGGGGTAAATTCTCTTAGCTTTTGTTTGTCTGGGATAGATTTTATCTCTCTTTCATATTTGAAGAATAGCTTTGCTGGATACGGTATTCTTGGATGGAAGTTATTTTCTTTCAGTACTTTAAAAATGTCATCCAACTTTCTCCTAGCCTATATGGTTTCCATGGAGAAGTCTGTTTCCAAATAATTTGGAGTTCCTTTATATGTTATTTGCTTCTTTTCTCTTGCTGCTTTTAGGATCCCCTCTCTGTCCTTGATCTTTGAGAGCTTGATTATTACATGCCTTTTGGTCATCTCATTTGGGTCAAGTTTATTTGAGGTTCTTGGACCTTACTATCTGGATATTTATCTTTCTCAAGTTGAGGAAAGTTTTCTGTTATTATTTATTTGAATAAGCTTTCTACTCCTTGCTCTTGCCCTTGCTCAGCTCCTTCTTGAATACCAGTAATTCTCAGATTTGGTCTTTTGAGGTAATCTTCTAAATCTTGTAGGAAATCTTTGTGTTTTTTATCCTTTTTCTCTCCTGACTGTATAATTTCAAGTAGCCTGTCTTCAAGTTCTCTGATTCCTTCCTCTGCTTGATCCATTCTGCTGTTAAGAGCCTCTAATAAATTTTTCAATTCAGCAAATGTATTTCTCAGAGCCAAGATTTCCATTTGATTTTTTAAATTATTTCAATCTCTTTGTTAGATTTCTTTGATACATTTCTGACTTGCTTTTCTGTGTTATATTGGAGATCACTGAGTTTCCTTAAAACTGGATTTTGAACTTTTGATCAGAGAGCTCACATATTGTCTTCTCATTGGTTCCCCATTTGCCCTTGTTCTTGTGGATGTATATCTATTTCTTTGCATTGAATGATTATGTATTTAGTCCCGTCTTCTCTGTCGGCTTGCTTTGGTTTTAATTGGTTATATTTGCTTAGAGATTCTTTGTAATGTAACTGTTGAATGTCTTTCTTTTTTTTTTTTTTTTCTTTCGCTAGATCATGCCCTCATTTTTGGCACTAGATGGCACTATAAGCCCAGGTTCTTCCCAGCTCTAACAATCAGAATACTGCCCATCCTGAATAGGGGAGGTCTCAAGGGGGATATCATGGCAGTGTGGGAAAGCTGGCTTGGGCTCATGCCCAGGGGACCTGTGGAACGTACCTCCTACAGCATTGTGCTGCTGAACAGCCACTTTAATTTGGCTTCTCCATTGGCTGAGTTACACAGCAGAATTTTCAGGGCTGGGTATGATAGTCCTGCCTCCCTACTTTCTCACTAGCTGCCTGCAGGAGTAATTTCTCTCATTTAGCAGTCACAATGCTTCCTGTAAGTTGAGGAAGAGATGAGTCTCCTGTCAGTGAACCAATGATGGTGGAGAAGCTGGTTGTCCACCTTGACTCACTTTTTCCAGTGTTTTAAAAACTGAGAGTTACGGGAAATTTTCCCCATGCTTGCTGTTAAGCAGAGTGGGAAGAGGAGCATTGTGGATTTGGAAATCTGATTCTCCGATCATCTGCTCACAGATTTTAAGTTTTCTGTGGCCCCAGGAAATGACTCATCCTCATATTTGAGTTCTGGGATATTGCTGGTAATAACCTAAGCACTGTATATTTATTTTTTTTTTTATGGCAGTAGTGAAGCCAGTTTGCTTCTACACAATCATAATGGAAACAAAAGTCTGAACAGGTCAGCTTCTTTAGCAATTGTTATGCATTTTCTTTCTTTTGCTTGCCTAATTGCTCTGGTTAGGACTTCTAGTACTTTGCTGAATATAAGAAGTGACAGTGGGCACCCTTGTCTTGCTCCTGACCAACTTTTCACTATTGAGTATGTTGTTATCTGTGGATTTGTTATATATGACCTTCATTGTATTGTGGTACATTCCCTCTATACCTACTTTGTTGAGAATTTTTATTATGAAAGGATGTTAAATTTTGTTAAATTCTTTTTCTGCATCGATTGAGATGATCATATGGTTTTTGGGCTTCATTTGGTTAATGTCATATACAGCATTTATAAATTTGTATATGTTGAACCATTCTTGTATCCATGTGATAAATTCTGCTTGATCATATTGAATGATCCTTTTAATGTGCTGTTAAATTTAGTTTGCTAGTATGTTGTTGATAATTTTTGCATCTATGTTCATCAGGGATATTGGCATGTAATTTTCTTGTAGTGTCCTTGGTCTGGCTTTGGTATCAGGGTAATGCTGACCTGGCTGAAAATGAACTCTGAATTTAAAAAAGAAAAAAAATAATTAAAAAGAAAATGAAATTGTTTTTACTATAATCTCAAATTTGATTAAAAATTTGGCTTGTTAAAAGTTTCTGAACAGTAAATGTTTTTCTCTCAAATTTTTAAGACATTGTTCCCCTAGCTTTCTCTCCCCAGATTGTAATAGGGTACTACCAGTAAGCCTAGTTTTATCTGGTATGGTGTTTTCTTTTCATTCTTTAAGTATATACTGAAGCTACTATGTACCACATATAGAATCTTATCTACCCAGAAAGGCTCTATATAGTAATTAAGCACATAGACTGAAGATAGGCTTTCTGGGTTTAAGTCTCAATTTTGCTCCTTTCTAGTATGGGAACTTGTACAAGTTGTTTTACCTCTCTGCGTCAGTTTTCTCACTTGTAAAATTGAGAAGATTAAATGAGTTATTCCTTGATGTGCTAGCATGTAGTTTGCATGAAATAAGTGTTTTCTATTATCATTAAGGTTCTATTTTGCATGTGTTATCAAGTAAGAAATCTTTAGATAGTCAGACTTTGCTCAAGTATGCTTTAATAAACCACTTCTGCTTGTAGGATGGGTTTGTTTCAGTTAGAGTTCACTATGTTATTGGTTTCAGTATGATACTAAACTTGCCTGAGACAAACTAATGCAAAATATTTTCAGTGAGTCCAAAAAAATCAACTCTTTAGTGACCCTAGAATTCTAGGATACAGTGAATTACTAAGTGGGACTTCATGGTAATTTCACCTAAGTGAATACGTAACGATAAAGATTCATTATTTATGGTAATGTACAGTAAAATCAAAGGGCTAATGCCTACTTAAGGATTATTTAATATCGACAAAATACTAGGTGGCTTTCAGGCTATAATAACCTGTCCAGTGGAATTATAATCCAAACCAGATAGCAATAATGCTAAGATAAGTAGGGAGGATTGCTAGGGCCAGTCTGTATAGACAACCTGTTGTGCTAATTGGAAAAATTTTACTCTTAGCTCTTCATGATTCTATTTTGGCTTCCATTCTCCTTCTTTAAAGAATCCAGGATAAATTATAATTGGTTTTGAAGAAGAAAAAACTAAATGTTGACTGTCCCAACTTAATAAATACTTTGGTATTTTGTGTCACTAAGAGCAGCAAGCAAGAAGCTCAATGGGGAAGAAAATTGTTTTTTTAAAATTATTATAGGAAAGGCATTCAAGAAGTGACTTTGCAGCTTTGTGATTTCACTTGAGTCATATATCTATAAATATTTGAGAAGGAAAAGCCAATTAATTTCCTGAGATTCAATTTATTTTCATAATTTTTGATGAAAGTTTACATTTTCCAAGAGTTTTCATAGCCAGACACAACTGCCACAAAGAAGAAATCAAGAAACCAAAAAAGTAAAGAACATTTACAGGAGAACAGATAAAATGAAAAAGAAAATGAAAAAAGGAATTAAACATACTTAGAAAAGAAGGGTTAACATGTCAGTCTTTTGTGAATGAAGAGAAATTAGTAAAAACATTTAAAAGAAGAAATAAGGAGAATAAAAATGAAAATATCTCTCTGAAATTATTAATTTATTAATTAGTTTACAGAGAATAACAATTAAAGGCAACCTGCACAATTCCTGAGTTGGCAGGCACTAACTCATTATGTTTGCATTTCCTTAGCTAATCAAGCAGCCAGCTATAGCACAATGGAGTGAAGCTCAGACTCAAAGTAGAGACATCCCCATAGAGTACACCTAGCCAACTTCTATGTGCCACACCCCCTTTATTCTTCTAGGAAAGTGAGAGGAACACAGTGCCTCTTTGGCAAATGCTTGATGAATATGAAATATTAAAGTCTCAGGCAAAACAAATTAAATTACATTGTGAAAGCACTGAAGGAAAAGTATTAAACTTCAAGTAATGGTTCTGTGCGAGAATGTGGAAATCACATTCAGAAAATGTGCTGACTCTGGCCATACCTTGTCTTTTTTCTGCGTGTCTCTAAAGACAGGTCATCATTTATTGCTTATAGCATATTTCAAACAGCTTTATTGACGTACATTTTACAAATCACAAAATTCACCCATTTTCATGAGTTTATAACTTAGTTA
This sequence comes from Homo sapiens, assembly GCF_000001405.40. NCBI lineage: Eukaryota > Metazoa > Chordata > Mammalia > Primates > Hominidae > Homo > Homo sapiens. The sequence goes on from NC_000002.12 coordinate 17,474,305, forward strand.
TTCTTAATAATCAACCATAATCATAAATCAGTCGTAGAACATATTTATCTCCTCAGTAAGATTTCTTATGTCCATTTAGAGTTAAACTCTTATCCTACCAGTAGCCCCAGGAAACTCCTAATCTACTTTCTGTCTCTGTAAATAAAAATCATACAATACGTAGCCTCATATCTGGATGCTTTCACTTTACACATTTCTAAAGTTCATCTATAAAGTAATATTCAGTAGTTTGTTCCTTTTTATTACTGGATAATATTCCATTGTATAGATCTACCACATTTTGTCTACCCATTCACAAACTGATGGACATTTGGGGTTTTCCAGTTTCTGACTCTAGGAATAGTGATGCTGCTATAAAAATTCACTCAAAAGTCTTTGTGTGGACTTATGTTGTCATTACCTTGAATAAATATGTAGAGTTGGGTGGCTAGATCATGATAGTTTGGTTATTAACTTTTTGAGAAACTGCCAAACTATTTTCCAAAGTGGCTTTGCCATTTTACATTCCTATCAGCAATGTATGAGAGTTCACATTTTCCACATCTTCAATAAAATTTTTTATTGTCTTCCTTATTTATTACAGCCATTCTAGTGGAAGTGAAATGATATCTTATTATGCAGATTATCTAAGATATCTGAGGTTTGCATTTCCCTAATAACTAACGATGTTGAGCAGCTCATAGCATTTCGAAGTTGCAAACTCCTTACTTCACAAATTCGGAGATGGACAGCGAAGTGATTTATGTAAAAAAATTCAGAAATTTAGTGGCAAAAACATAATATCCATGTTTTGGCTCTTTAGTGCTTTTTTTTCTAGAAATCAAAAAATATAACCATATTACTTTATATGTTTATGGTTTAATATTTTAAAAATCATATTATTTAAAAACATAACCATATTATTTAAAAAGTCTTTCAGCAGATTATAACTTCCTATAAGCAGGAATGAAGATCTGTGTCTGTCACTACACTTGGTACAATTTTATGTCATCTTTATCTTTCCTTCCCTTGCTGTTATAGAATCTAGCAGATGTTTGTTGCAAGATAAATATGTAAATAAGTGAATGAATGAATGAATGTCAATAAATATTAAAAGCAGAATGTGTATCTGAGGAAAAGCCAACAATGTGGGAAAGATCTTACACAACACATGTATGTGAAATTATTCAACATCTCTTTAAGCAACAGGCGAAGTAAGTCACTTCCTCTTACACCTACATTGACTGTGTGCTCACCACTCCCACTTATACTTTCTAAGAAATTTCCTGTCATCTTTAATTGTATTACATCAGTAGCATCTAAACTGACTTTTCTGTGTTCAGTTTTCTCCAACTTCTGCTCATTAATAAAATAAATACCTGAAGTTGTTCCTTTGCTTTAAAACTGCCTCTATCTAGCCAGTATTCTTAAGACAAAGCCCAAGTTACTTAGCATGATACACAAGACTCTGTCACATATTAAATGGACCCTGAAGACAAGGTAAGTAAGCTGAGAAATTGGGTGGTCCAGTATCACCAAGAAAATCTCCACTGCGAGGCAAGTTTTCAACCTAGCCAATAGCATCACTTTAACTTTCCATTGATATAATCCTGGTCTTGCAAGGCCTTTTTTGTAGGCGGGGTGGTGAGTGGAGGGACAGGAAGAACATACCATTAATTGCTCTTTGTTTGAGCAGTTTGAGTGGGAAATGTTAATACTTTCTAACATTCCACAGTCCAGTTCCCATTCCCTAGAATTGATTATCCTATTATCTGCCTCCCAAACACTCCTACTTCTCGTCTATGCTTAGAACAGAACCACCATTTTGCTGGAAAATGAATCCTGATCCAGCAGTACTGGGATAAATTCAGCACATTCTGAGGTAGGTAAGCTGAGGCTTAATGCTTTTCTGAGCTCACAAATGCAGAAACCCTGCTGATACTTTTGTTCTTGAGCAAGGTAATCCAGATTTTAGGATGACTCACTGGCTGTGTTCACATGCATTTTCACAAATATTAATATGGATTAATGCATCACCTCCCTCTTGGCATGAGTTTACAATTCATTAAGAGCAATTGTGAATTAGATTGTGACAGAAGATCTGTCTGTGTGAAGAACGCCATGCTCTCTCCAACTTCTGGGAAATGTAATGCTAGAGACAGACTAACATAAATAGCACATAATGTAGCAATATCTTTCTGCCTACTCTTAATTCATCAGATTTATTATAGATGCTTTAAAATGACCTCCAAAGCCTTTTCTCAACACATTTGATCGACAATTTTGAGCACTATTATGTGTAATTTTATTTACACTAGAGTCAGTGGCTTTTTCATGTTAAGATGCCATATCGATTTTGTGAAATATCAAATAACACAGAAATTTGGTGAATTGTTAACAATACTTATTGTTATACAAATCTTAGAGAAATACAATTATATGTATGAGCATATTTAAGTATCATGTAAACTTGGGATATAGTTTTATATTTTTGTAGACATTCCAGATGGTAAAACACCTAAAATTCTTTAAATAATTTTTTAAACCATGGCATAAACAGTTTTTGCTGGCATTCCAAAAACCCACACATTTTATTAGCATATGCCTCCCTGTCATATTTTAACAGTCCCTAATAATAACCAAAACACTTAGTACATAAATAGCATTGATAAGCTGAGCCAAACCATAATGTGGAGAGAAACTGTGGTGCAGTGGCAAGAGCGCTGAAAACGTGTCAGGATGTGTTGTTTCTAGTCTTGGCATCTGCACTGACTGCATAACCTTTGACAAATTGCCTCATCTTTCTGAGCCTCTATACCCTATTTCTCAGATAAGAAGTATCAGCACTAAGGTTTCCTGAAAGCAGAACCTAGGAAAAAGGCCTACATGCATGCAGTTTATTTCAGAAATGATCCCAGTGAGCAGAACTGAAGAACAAGAGGAATAAAGCAGGGCAAAAGGAGAAGCCAATAGAAGTATATGGATGGCATTGAGCTGACAACAGCTCTGGGCTCCTGGTACTCAGAGTCTTTGGGGAGTCCCATGAAGTGTGTCTCAGAGTAGTCTGTCCAGAAGAAGAAAGGGGCAAGCATCGATTTAGTGCTTCATCAGTCAATGGCGGCCCTTAAGGGTGCTGAAGCCCCCAAACTTAATGGTTTGCACTTGCGTGAGTGTGGAGCAGGATCTCACAGGGTCCACTCAGAAATGTCAGAGAAGCCCTGGATCAGGAAGTGACAGGTACGGAAAGAAGACTAAAACAAAGTGCTCTTAGGTTGCCCTGCAGAGAAGCAGGGAAAAGCCTGCACAGAAGTGATCTCCTTGGCAGTGACTAGAATGAAAGGAAAGCCCTGTAAATGTGAAATGGAGCAAAGCAGTTGCATGATTCAGAACAACATGCTCTCAAAAACCTTCCAGCTCTAATGACATACAGCGTGGCATAATGGACATTGGAGACACAGAAGTGAGGAGGATGGAAGGGGGATAAGGACTGAAAATTATCAATTTGGTACAATGTACACTATTTGGGTGACAGGTATACTAAAAGCCCAGACTTCACCACTATACAATTCATCCATGTATCTAGAAACCACTTGTGCCCCTAAAGCTATTGAAATGAAAAAGAAAGAAGAAAAAGAAAGAAAGAAAGAAAGAAAGAAAGAAAGAAAGAAAGAAAGAAAGAAGAAAGAAATAAAGAAAGAAAGAAAGAAAGAAAGAAAGAAAGAAAGAAAGAAAAAAGAAAAGAAAAGAAAAGAAAGGAGGGAGGGAGGAAGGGAGGAAGGGAGGGAGGGAAGGAAAGAAAAGAAAGAAAGAGAAAGAAAGAAAGAAAGAAAGAAAGAAAGAAAGAAAGAAAGAAAGAAAAGAAAGAAAGAGAAAGAAAGAAAAGAAAGAAAGAAAGGAAAAGAAAAGAAAAGAAAGAAAGGAAGGGAGGAAGGGAGGGAGGGAAAGAAAGAAAGAAAGAAAGGAAAAGAAAGATTTTTAAAGTCAAAGAAAACCTCTAACTCTAATAGTATTTCGTACTATTTATATCATTAGGCAATTACGTTATCTAATTTATGTTGTGCCACAGTCCTTTGAGTATATTTTGTTATATGCATTTTGTAATGAGGAAACTAAATCTAGAAAGGTTAAGTAATTTACCTAAGGTGGGGTTTCTCAGCCTTCACACATTTAATATTTGGGTCAGAGAATTATTTGTTGGGAATGAGGGGGACTGTCCTGTGCATTATGGGATGCTTAGCAGCATCCTTGTCCTCCACCCACAAGATACCAGTAGTACTCCTCCAGTCATGAGAATCAAAGATATCTGCCAAATATCTCCTAGCAGGCAAAATCACTCCCAATTAGGAATTCCTGGCCTAAAGTCACAATTGTAATAAATGGCATAAATGCAATTTGAAACCAGAAATGATTGACTCTAAAATTCACTTGAAGCACAAAGGAAGAAGAATCCTTCTTACTGCCTCAGATTAATCCAACCATCTGTTTTAAGAGAATCAAAAATCTATAACAATCAAATAGTTTTTTAAAAATCAATTCTTAATTATTATGTTTAAATAAATGCAAAGGTAGGGACAGAGAGTTGGTAATAAGAATCCTAAAACAAGATATAGGATTCCAGCACACTCCTGACAATATAGAAAATGATTGTACATTTTTCAATTTAATCTAATTTAATTATTTAATTCAAAAAGTGTAATCATTCATTCAACAAATACAAAAGAGCACCTTCTGCATGCCAGGCATCACGTTAGAAGCTGGGGTTCATTCTTGAGCATAAATGGACATAATCAGTGTCCTCATGAATATCAGACTGCCAGATGGATTGGTGGACAGCCATAAAAAGTCCACAAATATGAAGTTACAGCCTCATAAAGTAAAGACACGGGGTAATATAAGAATTAAAATAGGAAGGATTTACTTATTCTAGGAACATGTGCCCCAAGAAATGATGAGAACTGAAGAGATGAGTAGAAATTAAATAAGAAAGAAGGGGAGAGGGGAAGACTTCCAAGCAAAAGGAAGAACATGCATAATTTCTGTTGAGAAAGAAGAAAAATGAGGTAGTGCAAAATAAAGGCCAGAGAAGTAAGTAAAAATGAGAATATACATGTTTAAGACCATGTTAAGACTTCAGTCTTTAAGAAAAAGGAGAAGCCACTGGAGTGGCTTAATTTGAAGCTGAGAAGAGAAATGGAGGTGGGAAGTGATATGACCAAACTGGCACCTCAGAAACTGTAGCATAAGATATAAAGGTCAGTGGTGTGGTCTTAGGGTTAAAGAGAAGAGCCAGTAAGTGGGAAGAAGGATCATTTTCAGGGCCAAGTGAAATTGAGCAAAGTACGATAACTATTTTGGGTTTATTATGTACCCTAAGAAATTTTGTGTAGCACTGAAGGACAGGAGATACTCGAAATAGAGAAGGCACATGAGAAAAATAACCCAACCAATTGTACCAGGAATGTTAAAAATCTTCAAAAAAGGTCTTCTTGTAATATTTTAGGATGTGAACATATGATTTCCTTTTGTTGTTGTTGTTTGTTTTTAGAATTCCTATAAAAGTAATATATGTTCATTTGTAAAGTACTGGTGTAAAGAGGTACATAAATAATAATAATAATCTTGCATAATCTCACTAGACTTTATAAAGACATTATTGCTGTCTGACTCACCACTCTGTAAGAGAAACAGCCCAGCTCAGTGGCCCAGGGTACATATTTGCTCTTGTGAAGTACAAAGTATCTACATTTGGTAATTGATGACCCTGACTAAGATTACTAGTTAACTCAAGCATAGTCATTAGAGAAGAGGCAAAAACCTAACTCCTGGAAAAAGCTTATATGAACACCAAAGGCTCATATGAATAACATCAAAAAAAGCGCCTATGAACACCAGGTGTCAGCGATTAAGAATTAAGGTTAGTGGTCCAATGTCAAGAGATGAAAGCTGACAGTGTCAGAATTGCCTTGAACACCAGCTAGTGTTTGAAGCTTATTATTATAAGCAGACAAGTTTATGTTTGTGATATATAGGAAAATCCACATGGTGCTAACAACCTAAGTTTCAAACTATGGTCTTTCTAAGACAAGCGTCAGAACTACCTCAGATATTTCTCAAACACACACACACATACACAAATGCACAAATTCCTGGTGTTTTCCCCAAACCTAATGAATAAAAAAACCTCTGAAGTTAAGTTCAGGATTATGCATTTTCAAGAAGTACACATCATTCTTACATGCACCCAAATTCGAAAATCACTGGTCTGGGCTATGATTACCAAGACACCTGGCACTGAAGAAAGCTCATGCCTGCGAATAGTAACTATTCAAGGAACACTGACCCACTCACCTTATTCAAAGAGGTTGTTTTTCTCAATAATTAGTAAAAGGTAACTAAGGTCCAAATTTCCTGGTCCCTTTCTTCACTATAGTCTTCCCAAAGCCCCAAGTTTAATGGAATAACTTCCCCAATAGCTTAAAATACTTAGTATCAGCAATATTTTACAAATGAATTCAATTATTAGCTACCAAGAGCTGAATGGAATGATACTGAGTTTCATTTAAAAAGCCATCTTTCCTTATTACTATAGTATTCCTTAAACAAAAACAAAAGAGGACTCATTGTACTTCCTTTACTTAAATTTTCACCAAAGTATATTAGGAGGTAGGTTGAAACCTTCTATATCAACGATTTACAACTTTTCGGGCTTCTAAATTTCTTAGCTAATACTAGAGAAGCAAAAAACATCAAGTGTCACTTTTTGTTGTAGGCTAACACACAGTAGAGAAGGACAGGCTCTGTATAGGAATAAGAGGATATGAACGATAAATCACGAAGGATAAAAGATGAATAAGAATTAACAAAATATTAGTTGCTTTTTAAAGTAGGCACAACTGAAATTCATAAACAAGGTACCAGACTTAAAAATTATAAAATAATCTCCCTAATATATTCAGTACCAGATACACAAATATTGGATCCAATTCTGTAGTTCTAAAATTCATAGAAATATGTGACAAATTTATTTTTAAAAATTCAGAGGGCTAAAACCTGAGTATAGGCTTAGAAAATACTTATTTTAAGTCACCTTAACTAGCAAAAAGAGAAAAAAGTGAACCTATCTCATGTATAACCAGGAATATATGTCTTGTTAAAGCAAAAATCTGTAAGGTGTAATTTTATCTTGTTTGCCCTCTAAGCATTAGAATATTGTTTAACTAAAAATTCTATATAACAATTTAAGGGATCTTTTTTAACCTAGATCTTTACAAAAACACTAACAGAATTCAGAACAAATTCACATAAAGGAATAAGAGTTACATGTAATTTTTTCCTGCTAACTTGGACATATTTATATATACCAACCCATGATACATGATATAGAACTAGAATCTGAAATAAATTTCTGATGCCTTCATTCAACAAACATTTCTTGAGCAGTTATGTATCAGGTATTATTTTAGATGCTGAGACGATAGCAGTTAATAAAACAGGCAAAAACCCCTGGCTTCACAGAACTCATATTCTAGTGAGGAAAGTCAGACATCAAACATAATAAATAAGTAAATGAAATATTTTAGATAGCAGTAAGTCCTTGAAAAAGAATAAAACTAGAAAGAAGATAAAGCAATTGGGGCATGATGTCAGTTCTAAATGGGGTGAAGAGGACAGATGTCAATAGGACGGTGATAATTGAGCGGAGGCCTGAAGGAAGGGAGGGAGCAAGTCATGAGGATATCTGGGAAAATTCTTCCATCCAGCAGGATCAACAGAAGAAATGCCTATGATGGGAAAATGCTTGATTGTTTGAGGACTAGCAAGGAGGCTAGTGTGGCTGAACCAGATTGAGCAAAGCAGAACAATACTAACAGATGAGGTCAAAAAGTCTTCCAGGAGCCGGATAATATAGGATCATGATGGTCAGTAAGGCAGGTCGGAGCCATTGAAGGGGTTTTAGCAAATGAGTGGCATATTCTCATGTGCCTTACCAGGATCATTATTGCTGTTCTGTTGATAATAGGTAGGAGGAGTAACAAAAGGTTAAAAAGAGAGGTCAATAAGGAGGCTATTGCATTGATCCAGGGAGACAATGGTGGCAACGGAGGTGACAAGGCCTAGTGAGGATTGATTTTGAAGGTAGAGCCAATATGATTTGCCAAAAGATTTGGAGATGAGAAGAAAGAACAGAAGGGGAGGTAAAAATGATTGCAAGAACTTTGGCCTGAGTAGCTGAAAATATGAAGTAGAGATAAGGAAAATGCGTTAGGCAGATTCTGCTTCCTGTTTTCAGGGCATATTTTCATGTGTGGAGGGCATGGAAGTATCAATTTGCCAGCCTTGTTAAAGTGTCGTGGGCAGAACAGTGTGTATTTCTTCCTGGCTCAAAATTAATTTCTTTTTATTTTAAGTTATGCTTCTTTGGGCTAGTTTTATAAGTTGGAATTGATTTTTCGATATGCAGTACTGATTTAGCATATGTTACCCAAGAGTGCCTAACTCACTACATTTCCATTACAAGGCTGAGCGGGGTCAAACCACAAAGGGCTGATCTGATTCAAATGATGAAGAGAATGATAACTCAGAATTGTTTAAAGTTGATTTCACTATGGCTAACTGCCAAACCAGCAAACAAGTGGGCAAAAGTCAGAAAGTAAGTATACATGTAAGTAGACATAGCTCCCTTGTGCTTCTCTAAATTTTAGCAGTCCAGAGTTTGGTGGTTGATGTAACACACAAAGCTTAAAATTTGAGGGACCAGAGAAGAAACCAGAATCCATTAACTTTTTTGCTATTAGACTGGGGGAGGAGCAAAATCACAACTCAAGGGCCTACATAGTACTAAATTAGTCAATTCCTACAGAGTCACAGTTCCATTATTTTACATTGTGTTTCCCGCTGTCATGAGGCAAATAGAGGCCTGAGTGAGTGGCTTCCTCCTAAATAGTGGCCATTCAGGGAAATTAAGCCCATATCGTTAATCACCTAAATTAGTATAAGACTAGGATAAAAGAGGCTATTATATGTCATAATTCATTTTAAGCTCTCCAAATTCATGAATTTGCATGAATAACTCCCTAACATGCCATATTTTGGTATCACTAGATATCCAGGGCCTGAAAGGGTCAGCTGATTTATCTAGTATCTGTAATATCATTTTAGGAACATAACTATTTCTGAGAAATATCTGGCAAATCTAAATGCAAGGCTAAAACAAATTTTACTTTTTTAAAAGTAAGAACCTTCTATTATTAGGATTGCATTACTCCCATGTGTATCTCACATAGCAGAACTCTAGCCATGATGGAACTCTGTGTACATATTTAGGGCTAAAAATAGTTTTTATTCAAGCTTTACATTTCATCTCTAAAATCTACTGGCACCATGTTGTTTACATCATGATATCCATCTTTGTCCTGTCAGCACTATTAATGAAACTCACTGGCTAAGGTAGAGGGAAAAGAGAGCACGGGGAGAGCCTTCCAGGCTCCACCAGGGTGATAATCTTTAACCACTATGCATATCAACTATTTATTAAAACACTCTTACAATGTGCTAGGAACTTTGTAAGTACAATTAGTGTAATCCCTACAACAAGCTTGTCCAACCCTTGGCCCACAGGCCGCATATGGCCCAGGACAGTTTTGAATGCAGCTCAACACAAATTCATAAACTTTCTTAAAACATTACATTATGAGGATTTTTTTTTTTCTAGCTCATCAGCTGTTGTCAGTGTTAGTGTATTGTATGTGTGGCCCAAGACAATTCTTCTTCCAGTGTGGCCCACGGAAGTCAAAAGATTGGACACCCCTGCTATACAAAAAATTCTCTAATTATTTCTATTTTGCAGATGGAGAAACCAAGCTAAAGAAAGTTTCAGTAATATGAATAAGATCACATATATAGCAGTGGAGCCAGGATTCAAACCCAGGCCACTTAGCTCCGGAGACTGTGCTTTCAATCACTACACTGTGTGAGTCTACTCTTAGTCCCTATTAATCTCAATTTCTCGTGGAAAGTGACATGAAAAAAAATGATTAAGCAAAAGAGAAATATACTATCTTAGATTAAAGGAGACCAAGACTTTGTTATCAAGGCAAAGTCATTCATTTATTATTGCTTTATAAATGAAGTTCTTTATTTTATACCATAGAATCAGAGAATCAACTAGCTGTCACATTCACATATCAAACTATTTCTAAAAGAGTTGTATATGGTTCTTAGAGAAATTTAAAATGTTGAAGAGCCAAACATAGTCTAACACTGCTTCAATATATTAATTTATGATCATTTTCTCTATGAAGTTATTTCATATTCAAGAGTTTCCCATAGAAGATAGTGTTAACCTTGTCACAACCAAGTTATACTACATTATTTCTTTCAAAACTCCACCACTTTTCATCTTATTTTTTTCTTCCATGGGTTGCTTCTGGTATTTCAAACATATATTTTAAACAACAAAGAAAAATAGAAGAAAGGCCAAGTGCTATCTATGGCTCATGCCTATAGTCCCAACACTTTGGAAGGCTTAGGCAGGTGGATTGCTTAAGCCTAGGAGTTTGAGACTAGCCTGGGCAACATGGCAAAAACCCATCTCTACAAAAAATACAAAAATTAGCCAGGCATGGTGGCACACACCTGTAGTCCCAGCTACTAAGGAGGCAGAGGGAGGAGGATCGCTTGAGCCTAGGAGATTGAGGCTGCAGTGAACCACGAGCATGTCCACTGCACTCCAACCTACACAGCAGAGCGAGACCCTGTCTCAAAAACAAAAAAAAAGAAGAAAAAAAGAAGAAAAAAAAAGATTTGCCCAGCTAAATATACTTAAAGCAAGTAAAACAAATAGAACTCTTTTTTCTTTTGTTTTTATAATTACTAAACACCTAACATCATGGAGATTCTATGTTAAATGCTATGTTACCCTGATGTAGATTCAATTCACTGATACAGTTTAAGTACTGTAGAACTAGTATATATTTACTTATAGGTGATTCTATACAGCCTAACATTTTCTGGGCTCAATTTTCTGCATAATTCAGACTGTTTGCTTTGTTTTACATAAGATATCTTATTTTGTTAATAGTCAGAAGAATATATGGATAATATCTGAGTACTATTTGAGAAAATAAAGCTAATAGCAAGCTATAATGTATTAACTTTACCTTATACTTCATATTGCTTAATGTGTCCATTCTGAGATTTGTTGCCTTAAAAGGATAAAATTTATTCAGAAAGATGTTGCACTATGTTTTTTATAGGTTTTCACTTTTTAAATAAACAAAGTCTAAGTTTTTGTCTGGCAAGCACTGTGGTTTGAATGTATGCCTATATTATCTAAATTAATACTCACACCAACCCTGTTAAATAAGTATTGTCTCAAATTTTCAGATGAGAAAAATTCTAATTCAAATATTTGAAGTCATTGCTCAGAACAACAAATCTTAATAACTAATTCCTGATTTAGACCCATATTCAAACTCCGAATCAGGAGTCCTTTCCACCAGCCATATTTGACCATTGGCTTGAACTTATAAAATGTTGTATTTCATATACAAACAATTCCAGTCAATAAATGACACATAAACTATAAAATTTTAGGTAAATATGTTAAGAGTGTCTAGTCCACAAACATTAAGCTAGGCGTATTAAATATTTGCGATTGATGAATTCTAACATACAGTTTAGAATCAAAGTGAAACAATTACTCACATAGATTTTAAGTATTACAAATAGAATTAAATATTTTTTCCAGTCTCTACTAGATATCTAGATAATGGCCATTTACATCACTTAAAGCTGTTCATTTTAAATACAATTGAATGTCACAGATACAGCAACATTAGGAAGCACCATCCTTGACATAAATAATAGATTTGAATAATATATACTAATGATAATTATCACCCAATGTGGCACAGCACCTCAATAATGTCTTTCTAAGCTTCCATCCTTTGTGTGTTGCTTTATTGTCCCATGGTCCCAGGTGGCTGTCGTAGTTCCAGGCTATGCCCACAGAAGGAACAACAGGGAAATTTCAAGGAATGCTAGAGATATTGTTTCTTTTATCAGGAAATCAAAAGCTTTCTTAGAAGACATCAGCAGAATTCTTACTTTATCTGGCCAGAACAATCATGTGCTCTCCTACTCCCAACTGCAAGAAAGCTAGGGGCAGGGGATGGGGAAATGAGCATTTAACTTTTTCAACTTCTATTGTTAAGACAACAAAGGAAGATGGAGTTGGAAAATACACTTGGGCTAGCCCATCAAGGGTGTCTAGTGCAATATTATTTGTCCCATTTAACAGATGAAGACAAAAATAATGATTTATCTCGAAGAATTAAAATAAAGTAGGCAAGGTAATAACGTTTTTAGAAATTCTGAATTCATCATTGAGCAAAGAAGCATATCCTCCTAATCCAAAGAAAAAACAGTGGGGTCAGGAAAGTTGAAGATAAGGACAGGGTCTAAGGGTCAGAGGTAATAGAGCAGGACTATCTGGAGCCTATGAAAACTTAAAGAGCAGGTCCATGAAGTTATATTCCTAATAGCAGCCAGTGGGCTTCTAGCTTTTGACAGGACATTTGAATTTGAAGGCAAGGTTTCACTCTATCTGACAAGGCGTGTTAGTTCATTTTCACATTTCTATAAAGAACTACCTGAGACTGGGTAATTTATGAGGAAAAGAAGTTTAATTGTCTCACAATTCCTTATGGCTGGGGAAGCCTCAGGAAACTTACCAATCATGAGAAAGTGAAGGGAAAGCAAGGCACGTCTTACATGATGGCAGGAAAAAGAAGCCAGGGGAGGTGGAGGGGACTTCCATGCACTTTTAAACCATCAGATCTCATAAGAACTCATTCACTGTCCTGAGAAAAGCATGGGGGAGACCGCCCCCCATGATCCAATCACCTCCCACCAGGTCCCTCCCTCAATACATGGGGATTACAGTTCGAGATGAAATTTGGGTGGGAACACAGACCCAAACCATATCACAAGACTATTTAAATTTAAAAGACCCCTTTTAGTTTTTGCCCGACCATCACCAACATTACTAGTAGTATTGTTTAGTGAAGATAAAAAATAACTTGGACACAATGGCAGATACAAATATTCAGCATTTTGAAAAAGAAGTAGAACCTTCTGCCTGGGAAAGCTGAATTGCAAACTCAATTAGTTTATTTTCAGTGTTTTATGCAGTGGAAACAAACAATAAGAAGAAAAACAACTATATACAACTTTCAATTCCATATGGTACACTGAGCCCATACTCTTTCCTTCTCCTTTCTCTGAAAATCCTATGAAGATGATAGAAAGATAAAATAGGCACATTTCCCAAAGTTTGTACATTGAACAACCTTTGGAATTACTTTCAAAGTAAATTGGAGAACTGCTGGGCTGGAAAAAAGAGTGCTCTTAATTTGAAAATTGGGCCAAGCAGAGAAGTGGGGCAGTGTTCTCAAGAACACTTGGTGTCCTCAACAGATATTAAAGAAAATAAACAAAAGTCAGTAGGCTTGGCTCAGCATAGTAATGAAATTTCCTAAAGCACTTTACCTTCAAGTTATGGAATTGTCTATATGCTCCATCTCGGGAATTCACCAGTGTGTCAATTTGTTTCCTTCCCACACAACCTTAATGGAAGCCTGAATATTGGCAAGACTTCATTTGTAGCCACAGAGCTCTGCATTCGTCAGTCAGGATTAGGATTTTCCTACTAAGGAAAATCCAAACCAACTATCATAATGGCTAAGAAATCCCACAGTGGCTGTCAGTACTCACCAAACCAGTCTTTTACTTACAAATAGGATTATACCACCATGAATTATCAGACATTTGGGGAAAGACAACAGTCTGAAAAGGCAGAACTGTACTAACTACTCATTTAGAGAAGCAAGACAAATAACCATCATGGAAATAGAGAAAACAGAATTAAACCTTGAAAAAATAAATATTATCTGAAGAATTCTAGAGAATATTACAAGCATTAAATAAAAACAGGGACCTATTAAAAATGGCATGAAAAAAGGATTTTAGGAAGATAAAACATGGTAAAACAAGAAAAAGTTTACAGCAGAACTGAATGGTAAAATGCCCCCATTATTTAAAACCTAATTAGGAATTTGGAAAGCCACAGAATGCTTCCAGAACATATTGCAAAACATCAAAGCAAAAGGAAATTTTCTGAGAAAGGTTAAGATATAATGCAATTAGGAAATTCAACATCTATTTAATAGAAATTGGAAAATAGAAAAATAAATGTATAATAGAAGAAAATTTGAGCTGAAGATAAACTCAAGTTGGTTATTTGTACCTCAAAAAATTTATTGTTTCTATTTTTTTAATTATACTTTCAGTTCTGGGATACATGTGCAGAATGTGCAGGTTTGTTACACGGGTATACACATGCCATGGTGGTTTGCTGCACCCAAAACCTGTCATCTACGAGTGAGAACTTGCGGTGTTTGGTTTTCTGTTTTTGTGTTAGTTTGCTAAGAATGATGGTTTCCAACTTCATCCATGAACTCATCCTTTTTTATGGCTGCATAGTATTCCATGGTGTTTATGTGCCACATTTTCTTTATCCAGTCTATCTTGATGGGCATTTGGGTTGGTTCCAAGTCTTTGCTATTGTGAATAGTGCTTCAATAAACATACGTGTGCATGTGTATCTATAGTAGAATGATTTACAATCCTTTGGGTATATACCCAGTAATGGAATTGCTGGGTCAAATGGTATTTCTGGTTCTAGATCCTTGAGGAATCGCCACACTGTCTTCCACAATGGTTGAACTAGTTTACACTCCCACCAACAGTGTAAAAGCATTCCTATTTCTCCACATCCTTTCCAGCATCTGTTGTTTTATGACTGCCATTCTAACTGGCATGAGATGGTATCTCACTGTGGTTGTTATTTGCATTTCTGTAATGACCAGTGATGATGAGCTTCTTTTCATATGTTTGTTGGCCGCATAAATGTCTCATTTTGAGAAGTGTCTATTTATATCCTTCACCCACTTTTTGATAGAGTTGCTTTTTTTTCTTGTAAATTTGTTTAAGTTCCTTGTAGAATCTGGATATTAGCCCTTTCTCACATGGATAGACTGCAAACATTTTCTCCCATTCTGTAGGTGGCCTGTTCCCTCTGAGGATAGTTTCTTTTGCTCGTTTGTCAATTTTGGCTTCTGTTGCCATTACTTTTGGTGTTTTAATCTTGAAGTCTTTGCCCATGCCTATGTCCTGAATGGTGTTGCCTAGGTTTTCTTCTAGGGTTTTTATTGTTTTAGGTCTTATGTATAAGTCTTTAATCCATCTTGAGTTAATTTTTGTATAAGGTGTAAGGAAGGGGTCCAGTTTCAGTTTTCTGCATATGGCTAGTTTTCCCAACACCATTTATTAAATAGGGAATCCTTTCTCCATTGCTTGTTTTTGTCAGGTTTGTCAAAGATCAGATGGTTGTAGATGTGTGGTGTTATTTCTGAGGCCTCTGTTCTGTTCCAGTGGTCTATCTGTTTTGGTACCAGTACCATGCTGTTATTGTTACTGTAACCTTTTGGTATAGTTTGAAGTTAGGTAGTGTAATGCCTCCCGCTTTGTTCTTTTTGCTTAGGATTGTCTTGGCTATACTGGCTCTTTTTTTGGTTCCATATGAAATTTAAAGTAGTTTTTTCTAATTCTGTGAAGAAAGTCAATGGTAGCTTGATGGGGTTAGCATTGAATCTATAAATTACTTTGGGCACTATGTCAATTTTCACGATATCGATTCTTCCTATCCATGAGCATGGAATGTTTTTCCATTTGTTTTTTTCCTCTCTTGTTTCCTGGAGCAGTGGTTTGTAGTTCTCCCTGAAGATGTCCAAGTTGTATTCCTAAGTATTTTATTCTCTTTGTAGCAGTTGTGAATGGGAGTTCACTCATGATTTGGCTCTCTGTCTAATATTGGAGTACAGGACTGCTTGTGATTTCTGCAAATTGATTTTATATTGTGAGACTTTACTGAAGGTGCTTATCAGCTTAAGGAGATTTTTGGCCTGAGACAATAGGGTTTTCTAAATATACAATCATGTCATCTGCAAACAGAGAAAATGTGACTTCCTCTTTTCCTATTTGAATACCCTTTATTTCTTTCTCTTGCCTGATTGCCCTGGCCAGAACTATGGCCAATACTATGTTGAATAGGAGTGTTGAGAGAGGGCATACTTGTCTTGTGCAGGTTTTCAAAGGGAGTGCTTTCAGCTTTTGCCCATTCAGTATGATATTGGCTGTGGGTTTGTCATAAATAGCTCTTATTATTTTGAGATATGTTCCATCGATACCTAGTTTATTGAGAGCTTTTAGCATGAAGGGGTGTTCAATTTTATTGAAGGCCTTTT
The DNA here is from genome assembly GCF_000001405.40 of Homo sapiens. Classification (NCBI taxonomy): domain Eukaryota; kingdom Metazoa; phylum Chordata; class Mammalia; order Primates; family Hominidae; genus Homo; species Homo sapiens. The sequence goes on from NC_000002.12 coordinate 17,490,651, forward strand.
CTGCATCTATTGAGATATCATGTGTTTTTTGTCGTTGGCTCTGTTTATGTGATGGATTATGTTTATTGATTTGCATATGTTGAACCAACCTTACATCCCAGGGATGAAGCCGACTTGATCATGGTGGATAAGCGTCTTGATGTGCTGCTGGATTCAGTTTGCCAGTATTTTATTGAGGATTTTCATATCGATGTTCATCATGGATATTGACCTGAATTTTTTTTGTTATGTTTCTGCCAGGTTTTGGTATCAGGATGATGCTGGCCTCATAAAATGAGTTGGGGAGGAATCCCTCTTTTTCTGTTGTTTGGAATAGTTTCAGAAGGAATGGTATCAGCTCCTCTTTATACCTCTGGTAGAATTCGGCTATGAATCTGTCCAGTCCTGGCCTTTTTTTGGTTGGTAGGGTATTAATTACTGCCTCAATTTCAGAACATGTTATTGGTCTATTCAGGGATTCAATTTCTTCCTAAGTTCCTATTAATAGTTGAACATGGTACTGGCATTGAGCACTATTTTGATTTTGAAGAACTGTGCAAGTGCTAGAAGCTAGTATTAAAAAAAAAACACACCTGGATACATCTTAGGGAAATCTTTGAACTCTAAAAAAAAAAAAACAAAAATTATGCTTGCTTTGGAGAAGAAAAGGCAATAGAGTAGAACAAATATCAATATTTGGTGGGGAGAGAGGAATGGACAAATATCTATAGGGGACTAAAGGAAAAGGATTCTAAACATAAAATTCTTTGCCCAAAGAAACTATCTTTCAAGTATGAAGAGAAAATTAAGATGATTTCCAACATGCAAAGACAAAGAAAATATTCTACCTGCCCTGCTTAGGATTATTTTAGGTGCAAGTGAAATAAATCTAATTCAAACAAGTTTAAACAAAAGAGAGACTCTATTGGCTCATAAAACAGGGAAGGAAAAGATGGGTGGGCCTCAGGCATGATCGCACCAGGGTCTCAACAATTATCATCAACTCTCTCTCTTTCAGAATTTTTCTCTTTCCCAATGAGTATCTTTCATCCTTATCACAGGAGATAGGGAAAACTTGGTTCAAACTACTCTGATTTAACACATTCCACTAATAAAAACAGAAGAATTATATCAGTACATATAAGTCCCCTGAAAAGATTCTGATATAACTTGAATCATACATCTAATTATTGAAAAAAAAGAAAAAAGAAAGAAATCCTTGTGATCAGAGTGATGTTGTACTATGATTGGCCAGACATAGATCAGCTACCCATATCTGTGGTCACAGGCATAGGATACTGTAACTACCAGCTCTACTGGGGTCATTTCAAAGGAATAGTGTTGAAGAAGAAATTTTCTAAAGGAAAGTGTGTTACTGAGAGAAGGTAGAAGAAATACTAGGAGCTAAGATAGCAGTAATGCATTATCACTTTTTTATTTTTTTCTGGAAAAAAATTTAGAGAATATATTTCTTCATAATGAAAAAGCAGAAGCAGAATAAATATTGAGAGAAAAAAAAACACAATGGTGAGAAAAGGAACAAGCAAAATGTACAGTTCCATTCAAAAAAAGTATCGACAATGCACATGAAGTATAATGAAATGTGTATATTTACTTAGTTGTTAAGAAATGAGTTCTAAAAACAAAAGAGGCATTTTTTTAAACTCTGAAGAATTTCAGATGATTCAAGACTGTAGTAGAGGGGGAAGAAGAATATCAAGAGCAAAAAAAAAAGATGTCCTAACAGTCTCATCTTATTTGAGTGGATAAGAGAGAGGAAGTTTTATATATACTGTTTAATTATCTATGTTAATAAAATATATGTTGAAATTTTAAATGCATCCAATTATTTAAAACCTAATTAGGGATTTGGGTTAGCACTAAAATAGTGATCCTCAACACTGGCTGTACATCTTAATCATCTATGATGTTTTATTAAAATGCAAATGCTTGGGCCCCAACCAGAAAGATTTTAATTCAGTAAATTTGGTCTTTGAGCTCAGAAGAAGCATTTTTTTTAAAGTCTACATGTGATTCTGATGGGTTACTACAATTGAGAACCACTGTACTAATAGAAGTAACATTTAGAATTTCTAAAATACTAGAAGGGAAAGAAAATTGGAAAAATTATCATCCAGGACAAGTCAGAAAATGGGTTAAATATAGGCAAATCAAAAATCATAATATAAGGAAGAGATAAGATCACAAAAAAGAGAAAGCGTATAAGTGAATACAGTAAATACAACTGAATTTCCCCTATTCTAAAAAGATCCTCACATATGATTTTTAAAAATAAATATAGAAGTTCACTTTTTTATTATTCTTTTTATCCTAAAAACATTTTTTAAGAAATGATAGAATGGGATTGAAAATAATAGAAATATCAAGATATTTCTGTCAAATAATATCACATTTATATCAAGAGTGGCAATGTTAATATCAAAACAGAATGAAGGGCAAAATCATCAATGTAACAAAAAAGAAAATTTTATATTGAAAAAAGATAAACACACAAATAAATTTTAACAGCCATAAACCTTTATTCACCAAACAACACATGAGCAAAATATATAATGGAAAAAAAAGTTTGATCCAAGGAGGTTTAACAAAGATTGGATCATGTGGAAATTTTATTATACCTCTTTTAGAAACTAAAATAAAGAGAAATGTAATTCTATAATGACCATGCTAGATTTATTATTAGACACAACTTTATACCCAATGTCTAAAATAATACATTATTTCCAAATGTCTATGACATATTTACAAAGATTAATCATGTAATAGCCCACAAAGTATATCTCAATGTATTATAAAATGTAGTGATAGTATAGGCCACATTGTCTGTCCATGAAGCAATACATCTGTAAATTAACATAACAGGAATGCCATTAACCTCTTTCCAAGCTTGCAAGCTCAGCAACAACACCTAAGATTAGTGAGAAGATATGCTCCTCCAGCACCCCACCAGGCCCTGACACCCTATTCTTTTTATTTATTTATTTATTATACTTTAAGTTTTAGGGTACATGTGCACAATGTGCCAGTTGGTTACATATGTATACATGTGCCGTGTTGGTGTGCTGCACCCATTAACTCGTCATTTAGCATTAGGTATATCTCCTAATGCTATCCCTCCCCCCTCCCCCCACCCCACAACAGTCCCCAGAGTGTGATGTTCCCCTTCCTGTGTCGATGTGTTCTCATTGTTCAATTCCCATCTATGAGTGAGAACATGCGGCATTTGGTTTTTTGTCCTTGCGATAGTTTACTGAGAATGATGGTTTCCAGCTTCATCCATGTCCCTACAAAGGACATGAACTCATCAGTTTTTATGGCTGCATAGCATTCCATGGTGTATATGTGCCACATTTTCTTAATCCAGTCTATCATTGTTGGACATTTGGGTTGGTTCCAAGTCTTTGCTATTGTGAATAATGCCGCAATAAACATACATGTGCATGTGTCTTTATAGCAGCATGATTTATAGTCCTTTGGGTATATACCCAGTAATGGGATGGCTGGGTCAAATGGTATTTCTAGTTCTAGATCCCTGAGGAATCGCCACACTGACTTCCACAATGGTTGAACTAGTTTACAGTTCCACCAACAGTGTAAAAGTGGTCCTATTTCTCCACATCCTCTCCAGCACCTGTTGTTTCCTGACTTTTTAATGATTGCCATTCTAACTGGTGTGAGATAGTATCTCATTGTGGTTTTGATTTGCATTTCTCTGATGGCCAGTGATGATGACCATTTTTTCATGCCTGACACCCTATTCTTGATATTTATGGGGTCTTCAGAAAGAAGAAAGTGTGAATATGGGATATGAGATGGAGCAAAGAATTCTTGAACATGGAGAGTCTCACTCCTGTGAGGTGCAGATGCACTGCCCCAAAAGCTAGTGGGAAGAGTAGTCAGGGTAATTCCTAACATAAATTTCTCAAGGAAACTGGGCATTATGCAGGTCATTCTAAGAATGTCTACCATTCTGTGTATGACATTATTGATGAGAAAATGACATATAACTTATTTATTAATTTACTAGGTGACTTCAAGTACGGGACAAAGTGGGAACAGGCATGAGGTAGAAGGTACAGACTGCGACAGATTCTGCGAAGCTGCTGATAGCACCAAGCCTAAATAAGCTGGTCTCAGCTTCTCCTAGGTCCGCTCTTCTCCATCTGTATACTCAGTTATCTGAGTATCGTCTCCAACAGCCCCCATGACCTGTTGTCCTCAGTCTTTGTATTTCTGCCCCATGAATCTCTTAAGTTGTCAGCCTTCTGCTGAACATTACCCTTTCCCTTACTAGACCAAAGGAAACTTAGCTGTCTCCTAAGAACACTGCTCCTCTTGCAACTTTCTCAAAAAGAGGATGGTTTTTCTCCCACAGCACCTCTGCAACTGAGCCTGCAGTGGGGTAAATGCTCTTCGTGTTTCTCTTTGCAGCATTCAAGTCTTCTCCCTCTCTCCTTCCTAAAAATGCATAGCTTTGAATCTCAGGTTATCAAGTTATATCACCCTCTACCCCATCATTGTTGCTGTCTGTACATCCCCAAGTCACCCACCTCACTTCTCAACAATTTTGCCTGGCTCTCTGTCACCCTTTAGTACTATACCTTTCTTAATTCTTGGTGATTTCTATGTATATACAAATAATTCTTATAGCATTCTAGCCTCTTAGTTACTTGATTTCTTATAATAATAATCTTCCTGCACTACCTCAGTCACTCTTCCACATTGACATATCCTATATAGAAACTTCTCCATAATTTCAGTTTCATGCATCTCACTTTCTGACCACAATCTCCTATCTTATCAGCTCATTTCCTATAGTCTTCCAAACCCAGTAATCCTGGGGTCCCTCTGGAACTTCCAAGTCATTAATCCTACCGCTCTTTTATCATCCCTAATTCTCCCTTGATGTCCTTACTCTGTTCCTCACCCAATTTAGATTATATAATAAAGCTGAAAATCATGCTTTGCATATATTCTCTATTTCCTTTACTCTCTTTTTCTGTTTTAAATTTGCCTGGCAAAGTCATACCACTGGTTATAGCCAATCCTCTACCCACTCTGACCCTGAATACATGAAGTTGAACATGACTGGAGAAAAATGCAAGCCCATACATGACTACTCTCACTTTAAATTCAAGACAATCAACCTTAAATGGGAACTTAACAATGCCAGGCAAACATACCACAGAGCCTGAGTCAATTTCATCTCCTACTCTCCTTGACAACTATTTCATATTTTCTGCTCCGTTTGGAAATCCTATCAACAGTTCCTTCCTCAACATAAATCTCAGCAGAAAAAAACAACTTCCTACATTATGAAGGATTTAAAATAATCAAAAGAGAACATCCAGAGACTTTCACAATCACATCTATACCCACTTACCTTCTCGCCTGTTACCAAAGATAATAAATTTTCAGGCTCCTACCTAAAGCCAATTATTCCTCAAGTTCTCTAGATACCATCCCTTCTGCCTACTCATTGACCAGTTTCTAAAAAGTCTTTTCTTTGTCTCCCACGTCAAGTTCCCATGACCATACAAATTTCCCATCATCATACAAACAAGCTATTATTTACTCCATGTTTTTAAAAAAAATCCTCTTCCCCCCTTTCCCCATAGTTACCTCAACTCCATTTCTCTATTGTCTTTCTCATTTCTCTATTCTGTTTGCAGGGAATAGAGAAAGTTGTTGGCACTCTCCATGGCCTATTTCTCTACCATTCTTTCTTAATCTAATGCTAGTCAGGCTTTGCCTCATCACTGTACTGAAACCATTCTGCTCAAGGGCATCAATGACCTCCACATTGCTAAATTCTGTCATTAATCTGGATTAAGAAGAGAGTGATACACTTTCTTCAGTTGGCTGTCAAACTATTACACTCCCTTGGTTTTTCTATAATCTTATTTTTCTCCTTTGATTTATCTTCTTTTCACTATCCATTTAGTATTGGAGCATCCCAATCCTTAGTCCTCTTCTCTGTGAACATTCACTTCCTTGGTGATCACAGTATTCTTGCAAATTTAAACACCTTCTATGAGCAGATGACTCCCAGCTTTGTATCTCTAACATGTACGTCTTTCTAAAGCTCCAGACTTATATATCCTATTGCATCTTCAACAACCTCTCCACTTGGATATCTAATAAACATCTCAAACTTAATGTCTAAAGCCAAACTTCCTGATATCAACCCCCTAAACCTTCTCCACTGTCAGCCTACTGCTTCTAATTTAAGAGCAACAGTATCCATTAAGTTGCTGGGGCCAAACATCTTAGTTATCCCTGACTTTGTTTTTTTCTTATACCACACACCCAATGTCAGAAAATTATTTTGCTTCTATCTTCAAAATATATCCAGAATGCAATCAATTCTCACCAACTCTATGGCCATCTTCTCCCGGTCTTCTGCTCTATTTCACCTTCTAACAAGTGGTGTTTCCCACCTGTTTCACAACAAACACTCAAAGTGATCCTTTCAAATCATGTCAGATCTTACTGTCTCACTTCCTTCAAGTCTTTGCTTCAATCTTATTTTTTCAGTGAACTCTACCCAGACGACTCTATTTAATATTATATCTCATCCCCAACATACCACCCTAATCCTTACCCCATTCTGCATCGGCTTACCACCTGCTAACATATTGTATAATTTACTTTATTTTTTACATTTCTTGTTTATTGTCCCTGCCTCCACTAGCATGTAGGGTCCACAAGAGCAGAAAATTTTGTCTGTTTTTTTCACTGACGTATCCCAAGTACCTACAACCAGTCTTATACATAGTAGTTATTCAACAAAGATTTTTGAATAATTATTAAACAGTGATTAGCTAAGTATCTAAGCACTAGATATCACAATTATTATTACAATAAACATTACATTATTTAATATTATTTAAAATGATAATAATATTATGTAAAAATAATAAACATTTGAGCAACTGTTTTATGACAAGCTCAGTTAAATATTAATTGCTACCATTTATTAAATGTTTATCATGTACCAGTCACCCTATTGGACAACTTGTAAGAATTATCTGTAATTCTGATAGAAACACTGAAAGATATATTTTACTGTCAACAATTTGCAGATGAAGACACAGAAAATCTAACAGGTTGCTATGGGTGAGAATCAGATCTCTCTATCTCCAAAAATCCATGTCCTTTCTCCTACAACACTCTGCTTCTGCTTTCAGTTTATTTCACATGCTATTTGGAAATGCTGGGTACAATGCAACCAAAAGTCATGATGATGCATTTATTTTATTTCTTGCCTGGTTCCTTTTCTACTATAAAAACCACAACTCAATCTGCTGACTATGTCTCCATATGTCAGAGAAAGAGGTACTGGTCTACGTTTTTCCATAGTGCTCAGGTCAGAAGGAAATATTGAAATAACTAAATTATTAGGTCAGAAAAATGAATATCCAACATAAACTCTCATTAGTGAGGCTGAAAAGTAGCACACACTTTTTGGGAGAAAGATTTTTATTTCTCTATCTTGCTTCAGAATAGAAAAAGGGGACAGGCATATTTTTGTCAAGTTCTATAATTTTCAAAGCTGGGAAGTCTCATGGCTGAAGGCCCAGCAATGTTACAAAACTTAAAGTTTTAAATCATATTGAATCCATGTGTCAAATATTTCTTTAAAAATGTTTAATCCCCATTATTAAATAAATTTTACCTCTTACAGTCTGCAGTTAGGAATGCAGTGAGATAATCATTCATTTTGAACTCAATTTTAGGGATGAATGTTGGATAAAATCCCTTTTCACATAGTGGTGAACCTTGTCATATCTTACCTCATTATTCTAATCTTGTCCAGTGACAACTTGAAAAATAACTTGAGAAGGTTGTGTTTTAATTTTTAAAATATTTTCTATGTAATTAACATAGAAATTTTTCTACTAATTTAGCAATCTGGGCTTCAGGATAAATAAAACTAGCATTAAAATATAGGTCTGTACATATATATATATATAAACATAGGCATAAATAGATTGCTTTGTGAAACATTTTAACTATCACATAATTATATGCCTGAAATGAATATTCATATATTTAAAAATTTATTAATATCTGGTTTCTTTACAGTCTACTTTTTTTTTAACTTTTAGATTAGGGGTACATGTGGAAGTTTTGCTATGTAGGTAAACTTGTGTCATGGGAGTTTGTTGTAAAGATTATTTCATCACCCAGGTACTAAGCCTTGTACCCAATCATTATTTTTTCTGATCCTCTCCTTCCTCCCACTCTTCACCTTCAAGTAGGTCCCAGTGTCTGTTGTTCCCCTCTTTGTGTCCATGAGTTCTTATCATTTAGCTCCACTTATAAGTGATAAGATGTGGTATTTGGTTTTCTGTTTCTGTGTTAGTTTGCTAAGGATAATGACCTCTAGCTCCATTCATTTTCCTGCAAAAGACAATGATCTTGTTCTTCTTCATGGCTGCACAGTATTCCAGGGTATATATGTGTGTGTGTGTGTGTGTGTGTGTGTGTGTGTGTACACACACACCTATACACACACACACACACACACACACACACACACATATATATAATATTTTCTTTATCCAATCTGTCACTGTTGGGCATTTAGGTTGATTCCCTGTCTTTGCTATTATGAATAGTGCTGCAATAAACATTCACATGCATGCGTCTTATGGTAGAATAATTTGTATGCCTTTAGGTATATACCTGGTAATGGGATTGCTGGGTTGAATACTAGTAAGAAGGAAGAAAACTTGAGTAGCATGCCTTACTTTTGGATTATACTTCAGCACAGAAGGCTAAGAGAAAGAATTTCTCTAAAGGCATATGAATCACTAGAAAATGAGGCATTCATTATTCTTTATTGAGACTGTAATGTGTGAAGTACTAAAAATTAATTTGTTCTAAATTCTAGGATTTCAGTCTACTGCTTCCTATCCTAGAAAGCCTCTTTTAATTTGATTTATTGAACACAAATCAAATTCTCAAAATTAAAGAGGATTTCAAAATATAAAATAAGGAAAAATATTTTTTCACCATAAAAAGAGAATTCAGTCTTTTAACATGTTTTATTTTTAATCTATAATCTCTCATGATTTTGTGTAAAGAGTAATAAAATAAAAAATACACCACTAACGTTTATAAGTCTCTAGCTAAATTGCTTACCTTCATGCTATTCTGAATAGAATCTTCTTACTCTACCTAATCTAAAATTTTAAAAAATTTTTTAAGATAGTTTAAATACCAGATTTCATATAAATCCTTCTTTCCAATCAGAATCACTCCCTAGAATTTCTGCACCTCCATAGCACTCTGTTGGTTCACTCTGTTCTGTATTACCTGTGAATGCGTTTTTCTCTCCAATAAGATTTAAACTCCTTATCTTGTATATCCTTCCAACTCCCACAGTACTTAGCGATATGCCTTGTATATAACAAATCCTCAAGGATGTTTATTCAACTGAATAGTGTTTCATCTATCTTAATCTAACAAGATCTCATGCTTTCTTTCAAATTTACTAATACGCAGTATTTTTCTATGTGTAAATATTACTATTTTGTCAATTTAATTTGCATTTCAAGTACAGTCTCAATAACTTTCATAATTTGATCCCAATTTAAAACTTTTCTCCCTGGTGTAATGTCTTTGCAAGAAAAAGCCATTAAGCAAAGGAACTTTGCATCCAAGTTCTAACAAATTCCCAAGCAGTTTTCAAAGACACATAGGAATGTGTTAACTATAGCTAAGAATTATACCACAAAATCAGTTTGAGTCAAAAACCAGAGATGCAAAAATGAGTTTTCCCCCTCTGTTGTTATAAAGTTATGATGTCACTCTTATGGTAAAAATAGGAAAACTGAACAAAATATATTTTTTAAGTAAGGCAAAGTTCAAAATTGTCACTCAACTATATACCACACCTAAAAATGATTAAAATAATAAATTGTATGTTATGTATTTATATTTTATTATGATAAAAAACTGCTGTATTCTTTTTAATGGTTAATTTATTTATAGTAAAGGGTCTTCCATGGAACCTGGCACAATACACTATACTTGTTAAAATAAATTGACCCAACATGTATAATGTGTGAATTGTGTCTTGAACAAGTATTCTGAAAAGTAAAAATTCAAAATACATAATAAACACTTCTCAGCATAAAGGTAAATATTCCTCAACCCATGCTTTATATGTGGAACCCATTAAGACTAGAGAACTTTTGGTAATCTTGTTATTTATAACCTATAAAGGATGAGAAAACTCTTTTCTAAAATGTAAATAATCTTAGCTACTAGTAGCCACATGCTTGCTATGTGCCAGAAGCTATGCTAGACATCTCATGTGTATTATCTCTAATGTTGGTTCCATGGAAGTCAGTCAGGTAATTCCTACTCCATCCCCCAAATCTCCATAATAATGAACATTAAAGCAATTGAAACTTCATTTTATCCAGATAGGGAAAATAGGTCACATCTGCGGGACTGTCTTCACAACAGCCTTCAGAAAATCCAGCAATCATTATTGAGGTTCATTTTCTATTATTTGTATAGAACAGGAATTGATTTAAAAACAAGTTCCTTAATAGTTAGGACCAAACCATTCCTTGAATAGATTCCTGTCAAAAGCTATAGTACATAAAGAATGATAAGTAAAGTGACCTGAGCTTCATAAATGAGAGAATTTATAGAAATTAAGTCATTTGTTCAGTTCCAGACTCCTGTTATGTCCTCAGTAAATGTTTGTTGAGGACATAAATATTAAATGAATAAATGAATGAGTTGGGAAAGAAATCAGATACTTCCTATTTGAAATAAATGAAAAATAATAGCAACTACCCTAATTTTTATTTTTTTATCTTCATTTAATAGAAAATAAAAGTTGCTAAAATACCTAAAAGTATTACACATTCTTTTTTTTTTACATTTACTGTATTTCCATCTTGGTATTTCTCCTTCCATTTACAATTAGTTTCTCCTTCCATTTACAATTAGTAACCCACAATGTATTTTATTTGCAGAGCAGAATATCAGAAGTTAATTCAGTGATTACAGTATGCCAAATGAGGAAACATCTAAAAGCCAAATGAGGCTACATGACATATTCAAAGTCATGAAAGAGAGTCCAATTGAAGGCTCAAATCTCCTAACAATTCTTCTAGGTGTTTCATGGATATTGCCTCTTAGAGTCTGTCAACTAAAATGTCATACTATTTAAAAGTAGGGGCCATGATATACACATGAATATCCCACATAGGGCCAACTGCTAGATAGTTACTGGGTCTAAAAAAAATACTTAATGATTATTATTATTCCTGTAGTCATAGAATTGGGATTAGTAATAATATTCTGATGCTCGTGTAGCACATGTAAGGCATTCATTATGCAAGACATCACAAAAGTAACACATTAAAACATCCCTTTATATTGGTTAGCACATTGGATTTCCATTTACTAGAATTTTTCAAGCCTAGCCTAGACTTTTACAGCAACATCTTACCATGGACCATTTTACTCTATCGTACATTTGGCTCTTAAGTACTGTTTCTGCAAACAGAAAGAAGATAAAACCTCCTTTAGAGCCATTTTATCAAGGCTTAACATGCTTTGAAATGCCAGTCAATGTTAACAGCATAGTTTCCTTGAAGCTCAGAATCCCTATAAGGAAAATCTATGAAAAAACATTTTCAGAAGTTTATGAATGGATATAGCCACAATTTGAACTATATTTGCTTTATTCCTGAAAAAAAAATGTAATAATGAAAGGCTAAGGCCTACAGCATTTAAGATGTAAGTCTTCTACTAAGAGAAGATCCACCATAAGAAAAGTTAACATTATGGGAGCCTTAAATGCATATTGCTAAGTGGAAGAAGGTGGTCTAAAAGGCTACATACTGTATGCTTCCAACTATATGACATTCTGGAAAAGACAAAACTATAGAGATATTAAAAAGGTCAGGGGTTGCAGAGGTTTAGGATAGGAATGGGAAGGAATGTGGAGCAGAGGAAATTTTTAGAGCACTGAAACTATTTGGTGTGGTGCTATAATGGTTGTTGCATTAAATTATTCATTTGGCAAAATCCATAGAACTTTACAACACAAAGAGCAAATCTTAATGTAAACCATAAACTTCAGTTAATAATGATGTATAAATCAATATTGATTTATCAGTGGTAACACCAATGCAAAATGTTAATAATAGGAGAAACTGGAGGGTAGAGAGAGTTGGGGGAAATTATATGGGAACTCTGTATTTTCTGTTTAATAGTTTTGTAAACGTAAAAGTACTCTAATAAACAAAGCCTATTAATTTTTTAAAGATAGTATTATAAAAATGTTAATGGTTTATAAAACTGTGCTCTGCCATTTTTTAACAAGAGTTTTAATCTAAATAAGAATGTTATATCTCAAAAATATTCCTAGACTCAACTTACTTTATGGTATTCTGATCAATATAGCTATATCTCAATAAACTTATTTCCTGTTAAAAATAGTTTATTGTTAAATAAAAGTTTTTAAACTATATGTAAGTTAAATCAGTTTTTAGAGAAATAAGTCCATATATATCTCAAAATTATACATTGAGCTAATTTTATACTACTCTGCCACATACAAATTAAATTTCTCTGTCAATAAGCATGTAGTTTGTCATTTGCAAGAAAAAAGGAATTTGAGATGTGTAGAGAAATTTTGTGAAAGTATACTAAGATATTTGAGCAACATGCCACTAAATTAGAAGTAAATAAAAAATTTAAAAGCAAATAAAGTAATTTTAAAATGAAGTACCAGCTGGAAGACTGATCCACCCAGCGGGCTATAAAAGAATCCCTTGGTCCTGCTTTTGGTTCTTGCAAGCTGAAACCCTTTGTTCCTACAAATAAGTGGCCTCCAAATGTTGATTATTGGCACTATATCTATATATCTTGCAGCAAGTTGCCCTTTTTCATGAAGGCACTTAATAACTGATAATGGTGGCAGTAATAACAAGGATATTTATTCAAAGGGTAGCAGTTAGAGTAGCAGATTTGCAAGATATTATTTTTGTACACCAAATTTTAAGACAGGAAAATTGTTTTGTGAAACATTCTTTTTTGCCTATTGATGAAAATACACAAATATTTTCATAATATTTTGTCTAAAATCAGTACTATTGATGGATAAAAAATGTGTGCAACTCAATTTGAGTAGGTGTTAGGCATATTAAAAGGCATTTATACAAACTATGTGAGGAAAAAGTGGGATTGTGCTTTGAAGCTGACCTAAGAAGTAGAGGAAGACAGGGTCAACAAGAAAAGGCCAAAGACAAAAATATGCCAAAAATGCCTTTTGTATTTAGTTACATTTTCTTCTGGAAACCAAAAAAAAAAAAAAAAAAAGCTATAAGCTTACTAGATTTATCAATAAGAATATAAAGCCAAATATAAGATGCCATGAAATAAATGCAATATTAACATTCAAATATAATTAACAAACATTTTTAGTATAAAGCTCTGATACACTGCTTTAGAGACTGCAAAGTTTCTAAAATGATCTCTATGCCCAAGCTTAGATAGGCAAAGATAAAATACAAAGCAGGTGTAATAAATGCTTGATGATGCATTAAAAAGAAAGCACTATCATTATTCAGGGGACTTAGCAATCATAAAATGTTCAAGTAGTTGGGAAAAGCAGTATAAAGGTGGTAGTTTAAGGACAGGTGTGATTTAAACAGGTGAAAGAAAGTGCATCTCAGTAGAGGAAAAAATTAGCAAAATGGGAAAATATTAGTTGGGAGAAAGTGGTGCATTAATAGACTAGCCAAATTGTAGGGAAGTTGAGGGGCGGCCAGTTGGAAAGTTCTATTAGGTAAGGCCACTTTATAGAGGCTCTAAAGAATGAAGAAGGATGCATTGGTTAAGGGTTCCTTAGAAGGAAGAAGTAACAGAACTTGACAGTATAAAATAAATGTCAGGTGGTAGAGTGAATGATGACTGATGAGATATTAGACAACTGAGTTGAAGTTGTTGACCTATAGCAATGTGGAAATCAGAGCAATATAACAGCAGTTAAGAGCTTTGGCCATAGGGCAGACTGCATGGGTTTGAATTCTGAAAACATAATACTTTGTGACCTTAGACAAGTTATTTAACTCACAATGTAAAATGGAGATAGTAATGGTATCTGACTGTGAGGTTATTTAAAGATTAAATTAGTATTTTATATATACAGATTTTAGAATAGCTCCTGAACCGTGGCATGTATTTCATAAACATTAGTTTTTTTAATTATTGTTATGCTGCCAAAATTAGAATTTGAAAGGTATAATTTGTTTCCAAAGCATAGAGTTTGTTGATGTAGTTGTAATTGATATATAGAGAGATATAATAGACATAATTTGTTTCCAAAACTGTAGAGTTGGTAAATGTGGAGGCCGTAAGTGATCCCATGAAAAATGAATGAGATTTCTAAGCGTAAAACACAGAAATAAAGAGCAAAAGTCCATGGACTATACTTTGAAGTTTCCTTATATCTGAGGATTAGAAAGCAAAAGAGATACAATTGTTAGGAAAATAAAAGGTAGTGTATCATCATAAAGTGAAAGTTTCAAGAATAGAAAGCAGCTAACGATGCAAAGAAATAAAAGAAAATGCAAACTGAAAAAAGGCCAAAGTCCTCTGCATTTTAAGAGTATTCTTTCTGATGAGAGAAGGCAGGGCAGGCAAAGAGATAAAAACTCTGAGGAGAGAGGAGAAAGAATGTGTGCACATACAGATGAAAGCTTAATAAAGAATTGAGTAGCAATTTGAGCTAGTGGATGTATAGTAGTGAAATAAAGGAGAGAAATTGCAATCATAATTAGACAGGCAGCAAAATCAATTACAAAGTTTTTTTTTAAAAAAAACGAAGACATGGACTGTGTAATTAAGCGTACAGATAAAATTGAATTTGTTGGAATATGAATACTTTGTTAAGATAGTGTTAAAGATATTTGAAATAGTTAAAAATCAGAATTTCTAAAATTGCTTCAGAAATTAAGGTAATTTTAATGGAAATGTCAGATTCACTAAGCCCAGTTTACTTTTCAAGTTTCTGTTTCTTAACATTGAAAAAAAGTTTTATAACCTTAAAATTGTAACACGTTAAAATGCATAAATTATTAAATTTGTTAAGTATACCATAATGACCAAATTTCTTTATAGAAATATATATTTAAGGAAAAAGTAAGATACAAAGACAATCATGCATATTTTAAAGTATAGGTATAAAACAGATAATAACTAAAAATACCCTCTATGCTTATTAATAATAAAATATTATTTTTTCATAGGAGCAAGTAGCTGTTGACAATTGTTTCCTCCATCAACAGAAACTGAAAAGTTGAGTGTGGAAAAAAAGAAAAGGACTTATACTCACTCTTTCTTTTTTTGTTCTTTATCCTCTGTATTTTGTACCATGTCTAGGTATTAACTTTTCAAAAATGAATCAGTAAATAAAATTTAAAAGACTGTTTAAAGGGGAATTATAAAAGTAAAAAGGCAAAAATTAAAATTTGGAAAACTCTAATAGATGTTTTTTACTAACTCAAAAGGAAAAGGCCATTAGAAAATTTAAATACGGATGTTGTTTACAAAGATTTTAAGTGGCATAAGAGATACGACATTGAATTTTAAATATGTACCAAATTTTACTATGGTTTGCCTTATTTTTTTCTTCATTAAAAAAGACTAATTTTAAATTCAGACACGTTAGGCAGCTAAATGCCTGAAGAAGATCACATAGTAAATGATCTAGATCGAAGCTTTGTTTTCACTTCTCTGGTTCAAGGAGAAAATACAAAAGAGAATAGCAAAGAAGAGGGAAGAGACCTTTAAATTCCAGGAGGGCACAAAGGTATATGATTCAAGAAGTTTATTCAGCATGATATGTTTAAGACATACTCGCTGTTGGTCTCATTATTCAATTTTTTGTCAATAACATTTATTGAATACTTACGTCAAGCACTGTCCTAGGCACTGGGGATAGAGTAATAAATATAACACAAAAGACTTTTGCCCTCACAGAGTTTAAAACCTAGTGGCAAAGACAGGCAATAAACAAAATAAAAAGTAAAATATGTAGTATGTCCATAGTAAATTATTAAGGAGGAAAAACTGAAAGCAGGGAAAGGGAATATGAATGTTAGCAGGAAGGAAAGGCCACACTTTGAAGGTGACATTTGAATAAAGCTATTAGGAAGGTGGTACAAGGCAAGCTATACAGATATCCTAGGAATAAGCATTCCAGGAAAAGAAAGTAAGTGCAAAAGCCATGAGTCAGGGACACACCTAATGTGTCTAAGAAACAGGAAGGCCATTGTGGTTTCAGAGGAATAAACAAGGGGAAAATACAGAGAAGAGTTTAAGGAGGCAAGAGAAGGTCAGATCATTATAGCCCTCATACATCCAAGTAAGAATTTTGGCTTGTATTCCGAGTGAGAAGGAAAGGCTTTGGAAGGTTTTGAGCTGAACTGGGATATGCTACAACTTATATTTTAAAGAATCATTCTGGCTACTGTGTTCAGAATAGACTGAAGGGGAGCAAGAACTGAAGCAGAGAGATCAGTTAGGACTCAATTGCAATAATCCAGACAAGAGAAGCCAAAGGCAATAGGATTGGTTGACAGGCCAGCCATGGGTTATGAGAAAAAAAATAAGTGTCAAGGATGACTCCAGCATTTCGTCTCTAAAAGAATAGAATTGCCATTTACTGAAATAAGAAACACTGTGGAAGGAAGAGTTTGGGAACAAATATCAGAAGCTCAGTTTGGGCCATGGTAGCTTTGCAATGCCTATTAGTCATCACAGTAGAGAGACTGAGTAAAAGTCATGAGTCTTGAATTCAAGAAAGAGATCCACAGACTTCTTTTTTTTTTTTTTTTAATTATGAGTTTCTCCAAATTATGAAATTACAGAAGAAATTACAGAGACCTTTAGATCTTGAGTTTATTTTTTGCCCATTGCCTGGATAGGTGGTATGGTTTAGTGACTGTTCCTTTCTGAATATGCTGTGTTTTTAAAAGAATATGTTAAATAGGCTTATCTAGCAAGGATAGTTTCAAACAATGATATGTGTTACAACAAAATGGGAAAAATATAATTTCAGATCCTCTTGATATCTTATTCTCTTTAATCTAAAAGATTATTTTTAGCAGGATAAACTCTGCCACAATCTATTATGTGTCAATGTAAATGTGTAATGCCTGCATTATTAAAAAGATTTCCCAAAATGATGACTGACTCTATAAACATTCTTTTATGTGGCAATTTAGATGGAACTAAAGATCAATTTCATTGCATATTTTGTTTTCCATTTTGCTTAACTAAATAAGGTTAAACAGGTAACTCAGAGATTTGCATACTTAAGGTACAGACTATCCACATCACTTTTTCAAGATGATTTAATATAAGGCTCTGCTTCTCTTCTCATGCTCACAGTTATGCATCCAGAGGCTTGTAACTTTAAACTGAAGTAACGCAGAGATTCACTCTGAAGTTGAATAAAAGCAAGTACTTTTTAAAGTGGCTTTTTATCCTTTAAATATTTCCTCTGATCTGAAAGCATTCAACTTTTACATTTTAAGAGCAAAGATAAAAAAGAAAAAGGTGGAGAGAGGATGGGTATCAGTTTAAAATGTCTTCCACCACGGATCCCATGCAGCCTTTCCAAACCTGGCTATGAAGACACAAAAACACAAGAAGAGCTAAAATGTTGCCTTCCTCCTATCCTCCAACTTACTATTTCCGGAGAAAATAACTCACAGACCTAGGCAGGAAAGGGAAGGTCCTGTGTGCTTATGTTGTGTATTTGGTTGGAGGTAGTTAGGGAAGGAGTGCTTGAGGAATTACACTAGCAGGAGCAAGTTTTGCATTTGGGGAGGTGTCATCCCTAGAAGAAAAGTTCTAGCGATCAAAGCTAGTAATAGGGCAGTGGCATGGAAAACCGTTGTAAGCAGCACAATATGTGCTAGGAGTTTAAACTTATCACATGTTCAATCAGTTCAGAATATGAAAGAACCAGCATTGAGTGGTTCTAAGTGAATATACTATTTATTAGAGAAAAGACAAAAGTATCCATAAAAGCCTTCATGGTACTAGGAATAAGAATAGAAGCATATAAACCAGTCCTAGAGATACAGAGCTGAGAACAAAATTAAATATTCACACAGAGTGACAGAGAACAGGGCAAAGGACTAAGGTTGTGAAGACAGATCTTGATTGTGAGGAGATTTACCTTGTATGATTACAGAAAAATCCAACATGGGGCTAATAATAATAAAAAGACGGAAGAGGGAAGGGAGGACGTTTGTAGGAAAAAAAGAAACATTTTTATAAAACTCATAAGAATAGCATACTTCTGAAAATAATCTAATGCAAAATCCAGAACAAAATTTCAAGAAAAGTCAAACATTCTAAGTAGTTATTAATTATTGAGTAGTTGCTATGTATCAGTAAGTACTCCCTATTGAGTAGTTACTATGTATCAGAGCTGTTACAATATGTGGTATGTATTAGTTTATTTAATCCTCACAATAATCCCAGAAGATAATATTATCCTCTTTTTAGAAATGAGGAGCTTGCCCAGGGCCATAAAGCTATTAAGAATTCAAAAAAACATAGCTAGTATGAGATTGGAGTAGAAATTTATTTCTTCAGTCAGATAAATAATAGGAGTATTGACTAGGGGGCAGGTACTGTTCTAGACACTTGGGATATATCAGTGGGGAAAAGAAAAGAATTCTGCCTTCAAGGAGCTTATGTTCTAGCAAGGTATATATTACCATGTAAGAAGGTAATGAGTTCTGTGAGGGCAGAAGAAAAATTAGTCTAAGATATTGAAGTTGGAAAGTGTATGGTGGGGGATGGAAATTAATGAACAGAGCCAAATTTGAGGTGGTTTCAGTAAGTCTGAGAATGTTTGCTTGTAATAAGATAATTTCATCCAGTCACATCTATTTTGTGAATCAATACATTTAGTCCTCCTTATGCCATCAGATGCTTTCTGTTTTTTATGCTTTCTTGATGCTTCTTTCTTTCCTTACGTTTTGCTAACTAGCCCATTTTTTGTTATTTCTCTGGCTAAAGTATATTTTACTCTACTGATAGT